>NC_000010.11:10161515-10313030 GCF_000001405.40 Homo sapiens
AAGGATTGTAAATACACCAATCAGCACTCTCTGTCTAGCTCAAGGTTTGTAAACCCACCAATCAGCACTCTGTGTCTAGCTCAAGGTTTGTAAATGCACTAATCAGTGCTCTCTGTCTAGTTAATCTAGTGGAGACTTGGAGAACTTTTACATCTAGCTAGAGGATTGTAAATACACCAATCAGCACTCTGTGTCTAGCTCAGGGATTGTAAATGCACCAATCAGCACCCTGTCAAAATGGATCAATCAGCTCTCTGTAAAACGGACCAATCGGCTCTCTGTAAAATGGACCAATCAGCCCTCTGTAAAATGGGCCAATCAGCAGGATGTGGGTGGGGTCACATAAGGGAATAAAAGCAGGCTGCCGTAGCCAGGAGCGGCAACCCACTGGGGTCCCCTTCTGCACTGTGGAAGCTTTGTTCTTTTGCTCTTTGTGATAAATCTTGCTGCTGCTCACTTTTTGGGTCTGCACTGCTTTTATGAGCTGTAACACTCACCATGAAGATCTGCAGCTTCACTCCTGAAGCCAGCAAGACCACAAGCCCACTGGGAGGGACAAACAACTCCAGAAGGGAGGAACGAACAATTCCAGATGTGCCACCTTTAAGAGCTGTAACACTCACCAGGAAGGTCTGCAGCTTCACTCCCGAAGTCAGCGAGACCACGAACCCAACAGAAGGAATAAACTCTGGACACATCTGAACATCTGAAAAAACAAACTCCAGACACACCATCTTTAAGAACTGTAACACTCACCACGTGGGTCCGCGGCTTCATTTTTGAAGTCAGGGAGACCAAGAACCCACCAATTCTGGACACAACGGCACTGATGGGAGTATAGCAGTGTCTGGTCACCACCTTGCTTTTGATGGGTTTTGGCTGGCTTCTTTACTGCAACCTACTTTATCAGGAAGGTCTTTATGACCTGTATCTTGTGCTGACTTCATATCTCATCCTGTGACTTGGAATGCCTTAAGCATCTGGGAATGTAGCCTAGTAGTTCTCAGCCTCATTTTACCCATCTCCTACTCAAGATTTAGTTGCTCTGGTTCACACGCCTCTGACATATCAAAATATTCTTTATACCAGGGAGCCATATTTTAAGGTGAAATTGGCTGCACTCCTTCAATGTGCTCTAGGGGAAGAAACCTTGAATTGAAATTAAAAGGAGTTGGTTTCTAATCATAAAACTGTCATTGAGTAGAGCTACAAAATCTTGAGTCTCAGTTTATTCTTTTGGGAAATGGTGTTGGGTTAGGTGGTATTAGAATTACCTTTAAGTTCAGGCTAACACGGATGATGGGGGTGAGGGGGAGGAAGTAGCCAGTAAGTATTCTGTCTCTGGTCTTTGAGTACCTGTTTCTCAAACATTAGTGTTGAGTATAAAAATGTTCTAGGAATAAATGCTCAGTGCTGCAAATTGAAACCAGCAATCAGCCAAAAGTTCTCTCAGCAAGGAAATTTATTTCTGCAGAAGGGTGCCACTCACGTCAATCAAGATGGCAAGAGCACGGGGAACAAAGGAGAGCATCAAGCTTTTATCTCTGATGGTAGTCCCTACCTCTGTGTCACTCCCCCATGGACTGGGGTCAGACCGCACAATCTGAGCTAAGCTGATTGCCTTCTTGCAAATATTTTTCTAAATATGGAAGGGAAGGGGGATGTGAGGTACGGTGGTGAAGCATGTGAGATGTGTAGTTTTGGGGGAACAGTGGGTGCAGGTAACCAAGGGAACAGATGTGAGTTATTCATTAGAGCTGATGGGAAGGGGGTAGTCTGTTTAACAGTAACTAGGGGCAAGGAGGAACAAGAAAGTTGAGTTTGGGAACAAAAGACAAGGAAGTTAGCAGGCTAAATCTTTGAAGAGAAACTCAGAGAAATTCATTGTATCTTACATGAGGTAAGAAAAAGCCATGAAAAGAGGAATTAATCAGAGTGAACTATTGTACCTTGATCTTTTCCTTGTGGGCAATCGGGCCACAAAATCCAAAAGAGAGGAGCTGAAGCCTGACTGGCCAGCCACACAGAACTTCGTGAAGATCCCTGCAGAGGCTACAACACAAACAAACAAAGGCATAAAGAAGCCAAATTCATTCAAGAGTGTGATGGCCTGTGAGGACATTAAAGAAACCCAGAACCAGATAGTTATTCAAGTGGTGAAAACAGATTTCATTCAGGAACAATTACAGTTGGGGAAAATACTTCAGTGGCATATGAGAAAGGAAAATAAATCTTGGGTACCCCAAACTCATAAAGCCAAGGGGAAAAGTTAAGCTGGGAACTGGGTCATGCAAACACAAACTTGCCTCCCCCTTTTGGTTCCTAAATAAGACGGCTACAAGATGAAAAGCTACACACCTCCCCAAAATATTTTGCCTACAAGGAAATTGCTAGTGAGCTCCAAGATCTTTACCCTAAGGTGTTTCTGTTAAAAATTTCACCGTGACAGTGTAAGTTGATAGCTTATCTCTACAGATGCAGTCACCCCTGCCCACTTGACACAAATGCATATCTGATCGTTGCCCTGCCCCATTTTATCTATCTTGTCTTATATAAAAAATGCAGATTCTCTGCATTTTTCCTCTGTTCCATTTTCCTATGTCATCTTATGTGTAAAAAAAAAATGCAGATTCACTGGGCCAGACAAAAGCATGAATGACTGTTTTTCCCTACCGCCCTTACATGAAAAATGTATACTTCTCAATATCCCACCCTTTCCCCTTTAAATTGGGAGCCCTCAAAATTATATTCAGAGAAAGGCCTATACTTGTCTCCTGGAAGTGCATCCTTAACTTTAGCAAATAAACTTCCTAAAATAATTGAGACTTGTCTCATCATTTTTCTTGATTGACACATAGAACTGGGATCAATTCCAAATATATCAAGAACAAGTGGGGGCTGGGTGCAGTGGCTTGTGCCTGTAATCCCAACACTTTGGGAGCCAAGGCAGGAGGATTGCTTGAGTTCAAGGGTTCAAGACCAGCCTGGGCAAGATAGCAAGACCCTGTCTCTACATTTTTTTTTATTATTATTATTAGCTGGGCACATCCCTGTGGACTCAGCTACTCAGGAGGCTGAGGTGCAAGGATGGCTTGAACCCCAGAGGTTGAGGCTTGAGGCCATTCTGAAGCATAAAAATGCCACTGCATTTCAGCCTGGGCAACAGAGAGAGACTCCTTCTCATAAATTAAAAAAAAAGAAAAGAAGTGGGAATTTACAGCCAAGGAGCAGGTTGAGGAGTGGTTGGTAGACAGAAAATTACTATTACAACAGAGTAGAAAGAACCTTGTTAAATTAACCTAACAGGATTCTCTTGGAAGGCAGGCCAGGGTGATCACATGTCACCTGGGGCATGGTGAGGGATAAGGAATTGGATCAGATATTAAAGGTGATCAGATGTCAAGGGTGGGGAGTTCTCTCAATCTGAGGTAACAGGATTCTTGCTTCAAGTGGGCTAGGGAAGCTCAGCAAGCACAAAGCCCAAGTGAAGGCCTAGTGGAGAACAGGGCTCAGAGAAGTCAGACTAAAGTCTAGTCAAGGAGAGATGATTTGTTGCTGACAAGTAGTGCAAACAAAAGAGGACATAGGGGCACAAGAATCGTTGATGTCAGCCTCTCCAATGAGGGCAATTCCAACTTCAAAATATCGACTTTGTTATAAGAACATTAAAAAGAAAAGCCTTATGCAAATATGCGTCTATTAACAATTATACACAACAAATATATAGATGTATATTTCAGTTATTTATTTATTTTTTTCTAGCAGAAGCAACACGTTTCTGGGCTTTAAAGCTCTGTGGATTATACACATTTAAACAAATACCCTCATTAAAAACTCAAATTCCAGAAGCTCTTTGCAAAGAGGACCAGTGCCTATTTGAATATTTCATAGACTATAATAAACTGGCTCAGATTTCCTTGGCTGGTTGAAAGGTTCTGAAGAAAAAAGAAAGGAAAAAACATATTCAATGAAAGTGTTAAATATCCTCCAATATCTGGAGCTAGCAACTTCTCTGCATGGGTTGAGCTGAATTTCAAAACCATTGTCATTCCTAAGACAACCTGTAGTTTTAAATGACTAGCTTGTCAGCCTTTAAGTTTTCTGCATTTGCCTTTTCTGCTTTAGTGAATAGTAACAATTACATCGCAAACAGCATGTTATTTCCAACTGTTTTTTGACAGAAATCTTTGTGTTACAAATATTGCAAACTTGAGTTCATTTGCATGATTCATTTTTTATGTAAATCTTAAGGGTGGAGTTTTTCTTTTAAGACTTCAATAAATTTGGTCTTTAAAATAGTATTGATTTGTCTTTCTCACACACACAAACACATACTTGCTAAGCACAAGTGTTAAGGGTTTGTATAGATTTGGAAACAATTTTTAACATACAGTTGTTAGGTTCATATAGCAAGACTTTAATAGCTGGAATTCACTGATTGGGGGAAGGGAAATGATGCATTTAGAAAAAGGAACCAGGGAAATTATATATTCTTTTTTTGTTTTTTGTTTTTTTTCAAAGAACTTGTTCCAACACCCTCAAACTGAAAAAGAATAGATTGAATTTTCTTATATGTAATCAACTGAAAATGTCATTTCTGGTTTAGAAAGAAGACAGAATTTTTGTGTTATGAAGTACAACGGGCTTGGGGATAGCAAAGGATGACCCAGATCCTTGAAGATGTTTATCTTTCAAGCTGATTTAAACATTTAACAACTACCGAGTCTTTGAAGATCTAAGGAAAAACCAGTAGGATTAAAGCCTATGTTCCAATGTTTTAAAATAACTTTAAATATCTAAAGTAGCACAAAGGCATTGTTTATTAATTATATCTAGCTTTTGTAGAATATATGTAGTAACATATTTATAGCAATTTATCCATATATATGTATGTGTGTATATACATATATGTGTATATATGTGTGTGTGTACGTGTATATATGTTTACTGAACACTAGATATGCAGAAGGCATTGATCTTTGCAAAGAGGAATAAGTGAATGTTAGCTACAAAGGTTTCAGCCCTTGATGAAGAGACTTTAACATTTACCTTAGATTGGCTAAACTTAAGACAGGTGTGTTCATGACTACACTCCCATGACCTACTTCTTCGTAGAAGATTGACTTTAGAAAACTCATAATTGTAACTTCTTTCTCTGCCTCTTTGAGATGTAAATCTTTTCTAAGACTCTTGAAGTTTTATAACCCAGGAATGTCTTCTCAAGGACCTGGGAGCCATTTTTTGAAATGTAATCATTGAAGGAGATAGTGCCTCTGTCTCTTTGTGGGAGGGTAGGCTTAATACGTGACCATTAGCAAAGAGATGTCCTAAGTACATTGACTAACCTCTCCCCTAACATCCTCTTGGACCTTTGCACTAGCTCATCCCAGTGCTTAAAAATCCTCCAGTCCAGGCTTTGGTTTGCTTGGCAGAGATTAGTTCAATCTCTATCCCCTATTGCCATAGTTTTGAATATAGTCTTCCTTGCCTGTTTAAATCTGTCTGGTACAGGTTTTTGTTTGTTTATTTTTCATCCTCAAGGAATATAAAATCTAGAGAAGTAAAAGTCACAGTTAACTTAACACAAGAGCCTTCAGTTAGTTAATACAGGAAAAATCACCCAGGCAGTCACAAAAGAGAGATTTCACTTTGTAATCACAGATACAAAGACTTCACAATAAACATCTAAGCTATACAAATGACTTGAAATGTAATGCATCCAAATTCGTTTATTTTTATTTTGTTAAATATACCTATTTTTTCCTAATGTGATTTAACATGACTATGATGCGTTTACAATTATAGTAGTGAGGATGCATAAAATTGTGAAGAGTTAATGAATACCTAAACAATACCACTTAAATCAACAGCATTTGTCCTCAATGTTTTTCTTTGTGAATTCTTTTTACCTAAATTCTAAAATTAAATTTTGCTGAGTGTTTTCAAAATGTCAACTCCCTGATCATCCAAATTTGCCCTTTTCATTTTATCTCTATAGAATTGGCTGCCAAATCCTATCGTTTCTTAGATAATCCTTTCTTCTACTTAACTATTAATATTACCATTGTTGAATACCAAAAACCACCACCAATTATAATGTTTACTGTAAATGTGAATGTGTTATACTATCCAACTATGTACATTAACATGCCTTTATTATTTTAAGACATTCTTAAATAGATGAAGTTGTAAATAACTTCGTTTCCAGGATCTCTGCAAAATTCATTTACCTAATCAACAAACAACTTTAAGAAGCTCTCAGGCCAATAGATTTCTTAACGAAGATCATCAAAAAACTTTGTACTTTACAGGAGTGTTTTAAAACCCTCACTGGCTTCATCCATTAATTCCAGGCTATTATGTTCGTAATCTATACTCAAGCCCTATCAGCCCCCAACACCACTTACAGACCTGCTTTACCAGCATCCTGCCCAAGACAACCTCTTAAATATCTATTTCTCTCCTTCCTCTCAGATGCTACTAAGAATCTTATCAAGGTAGTGGCCTCTCTTAAAGCAGTCAGCAATAAACTTACCTTTGCTTTATCAATGTATTGTTTTGATGGTCTTTTGAAGGAGTCAGCAGTTGATACCACTAAAGACCAGGCCTTTGTCAGTGCCTTCCTATCCTGGATTGCTGTTGTAGCCACTTAGCTAACCCCTCATCTTCAGCCTTTCATCTCTTTAGGGTATTCTGCACACCCTAGCTAGACATCTTGTGCAAGAAATTGGGAGAACATTAACCACCAGATAAAATCCAATTTCTACTGTCTGACCTGAAATATATCCCAAGTTCCCTTTTCAGATTTACTGTCTATCATACCCAATAGTCAAACTCAATTTTAACCAGAAGGGCCAATTCAATTTTCTCTCTCTGTCTTCCTCCGCCTCATTTTCTGATGTTTCTACACAATTTGCTCTCAATCCCTATTTGTATAAATACTACTCAAATTTTAAACATTGTTCAATTCACATTTCAACTAATAAATCCCTTATTTTATCTGTTTGCCTTTTCTGTGGTCTGAATTCTCTACTGTTTTGAAAGTCTGCTGTACAAATCATTGTTGCCACACAATTGGCCCTTAACTTATAACTGCCTTGGACATTTTACTTCTATTTCTCCTGACTGATTGCTTGCAGGCATGAATTAGGCTATATATTGCTTTTTAATTTCCTATGACAAACTAGCAATTCACTTTTTGACCTTTGCCTGCTCACACCTTCAGTATCTTCCAGTTCTCTCTGGTGGAACTCTTGGTGGCAGCCATACATAGAGGATATAGCTCAAGATTGACCTCCAGAGCTAGTGATGGTCTCTGACCTACTTGTCATGCAAGTCAATGTTATCAAATCCATGAATGATACAGAAGGATGTAACTTCAAAGCGTATTATTTATGTATCTTTTCAGACATTCTAATGAACTTTTTTAGCTGTTACATACAATAAACTAAATGAATTTAAAGTGAACAATGTGATAACTTTGGGTATATCCATACATCTTGAAACCATCATAATCTATTACCATAATAAACACAATGAACATTTCCACCACACTGAAAATTTCCTCATGCCTCTTTGCAACCTATTTCTACTTCTTCTCCTCATCCTCATGCAGCCATTGATTTCTTTTCTATAACTATAGATTGGTTTGCATTTTCTAGAATTTAATATAAATGAAATCAAAGAGCATGCACCTTTGAGAAGGAAGGGCTAACTTCTTTCACTCAGCATAATTATTTTGAATTTTATCCATATCATTGCATGTATCTGTAGTTCATTTCTTTATACTGTTAAATAGATATTTATAAATATAGAAGTTTTACCATTCACTTGCTGATGGACACTTGTATTATTTCCTGTGTTGAGCTATTTTAAATAAGGCTGCTATGAACATTCTTGGGAAAGGCTTTTTATGAACATATGATTTCATTTCTCTCAGTCAAACAACTAGAATTGTTTGGCTGAATCACATAGTAGATATATGTTTAACTTTTTAAGGAATCAACAAATTATTTTCCAAAGTGGTTGTCTCATTTTCATTCCCACCAGTAAAATATAAATGTTCTGGTTCTTCTAAATTCTCATCAACATTTTGTTGGGCCACAGTTTTCATTTTAGCCATTCCAATTGATGTGTATGCAGTGTTATTGCATTGTGGTTTTAATTTGCATTTCTTTGACCACCAATGAGCTGAACATCTTTACAAGCATTCATTTTCCACTCATCTTTTTTAGTCTCTGTCTGTATAGAACTTTTACATTTCTTAACTGAATTGTCGGTGTTTTAATTACTGAGTTTTAGGAGTTTTGTATATATTTTGGACATAAGATCTTTTTGATCACATGTGAATGTGATTTGCAAAACTTTGTTCTACTCTTTACCTTGACTTTTTTATTCCCTTAGGAGTACCATTGAAAACACAGATACTCTAATTTTGATAAACTACAATTTGCCATTCTTTTCTTTTATAGAACATACTTTGGGCATTGTACTTAGAAATTTAGCCTTACCCAAAGTAATGTAGATTCTTTTCTCCTATGTTTTTCTTTTACAAGTTTTATATATTTAGCTTTTCTTTTTGGGTCTAGGGTCCATTCAGAATCAACTTCTGTATGTGGTGCTAGGTATGGATCAAAGTCAATTTTTTTTTATGTAAGGATATCCAAATTTTCTGGCACCATTTGTTGAAAATACTATCCATTTTTCTACTGAGATGAATTTGTATCTTTGTCAAAAGTCAATTTACCATATATGTGTAGGTCTATTTCTAAACTCTCTATGCTGTTCCATTGATCTGTGTATTACTCTTTATACCAATAACACATTCTCCTGATTACTGCAGCTTCATAATAAGTCTTAAAGTCAGGTAGAGTGTATTTCTTCCTACTTCATTCTTCTTTTTCGAATTTGTGTTGGCTATTCTATGCTATTTGCATTACTATATAAACCTTAGAATTTCCTTGTGAAATTCTTAAAAGAGAAACTTGCTGGGATTATGATTATTATCACATTGAATTGATATATCGCTTTGGAGAGAGCTCATAACAGATTGAGTTTTCTAACCTGCAAACACAATCTTTCTCTCTGTTTGTTTAAATCATCATTATTTTCTTTCAGCAAGGCTTTTAGATTTTAGTACACAGGCCTTATACATCTTCATCATATTTATTCCAAATCTTCTTATTTTAAAATTCTATTTGGGATAGTATTTTTTACTTTGATTTCCAAATGTTTGTTGCGAGTATATAGAAATACAATTAATTATGTATATCCATGTTCTATATTGTGACCGTGATAAATACACTTAAGTCTTATAGCTTTTCCCCCTTCAAACTGGATATCTTCAATTTTTCTTCAAGTCTGATTGTACTGGCTAAAATGAGAATTGGTGAGAGTTCCTTGTTCCTGATGTTAGAAAATAAGCATTTAGTCTTTCACCGTTAAGTGTATTGATAGGAGTATATTTTTTATAGATTGTCTTTATTAGATTAAAAAATTCTACTACTCTTAGTTTGCTGAGAGTTTCTATGAAAAGCTGACATTGGATTTTGTCAAATGATTTCTCTCATCTCTTGAAATATTTACATGGATGGTCCTTCTTAATCTGTTAACATGGTGAATACCTTAATAGATTTTTTTAGTGTATTTGTATTATTTATACATCCTACCTGGTCATGATGTGTTATCATTTTGACTTATTGTTTGATTTGATACACTATGATTTTGTTTAGAATTTTTGCATCTATGTTCATGACAGATACTTGTCTGCACTTTTTTTTTCTATTGATATGCTTTGTGTCTCAGAATAATGCTGGCTTTATCCAATAAATTCAGAAATACTACGTTCTCAATTTTCGGGGAGTGTTTGTGCAGAATTGGTCTTTTCCCTAAAAGTTCAGTAGCATTCAAAAGTGTAACCATCTGAGTCTCGAATTTTGTTGTTGGAAAGGTTTTGAAGTACAAATTTAACTTCTTTAATACACATGGGGGCTATTGTGGATCTCTATCTCTTGATAAAGCTTTTGTAGTTTAAGACTTTCAAGAAATTTTCTCATCTATGTTGTGAAAGAACAACTCTAACATGAAGTTGTTCATAATATTTAATAATTATCTTTTTTTAAAATGTATCTATCAGCTCTGTGGTGATGGCACTACTCTTATTCCTGATACTGTTAATTTGTCTATTCTCTCTGTGTTCCTGCAGAGAAGTTAATCATTTTTATTGCGTTATCAAAGAGCTACCTTTTCATTTCATATATTTTCTTTATTGTTTTGCTGTTTTCTATTTAATTAACTTCTGCTCTATATTGACTATTTCCTTCTCCTTATTTTGGATATAATTTACATTGGCTTTTAGTTCCAATTTGTCCTTAGGTAGATACTGAGAATATTGCTTTGAAACTTTTTTTTCCCTACATGTTTTCTTTTCATTTGTATTGACTTCAAAATACTTTCTAATCTCTATTTTTGTTTTTTAATTTACATTTAAATAATTTAGAAGTATGTTGTTTAGCTTCCAAACATTTGGGATTTTCAAGTTTTTTTTTATTATTTCTTGTTTAATTTCATTGCGGTCCGATAATACGTTTTGTATGATTTAAGTACCTTATGTTTACTGAGACTTGTCTTCTGGCCCAGACTATTTTGTTTTTAGTAACTGTTCCGCTAATATTTGGAAAAAAGATACTGATTCCTGTATTCTGTTATTTTGGGGTGGAATATTCTGAAAGTGTCAACTGGGTCAACTTGGTTGAATGTTGTTTGAGCCTTCATTATTCTCACCTATACCCTGCACACTTAATTCTATCAAATATTGAGAGTGGGATATTAAAATCCCTGACTTTAATCGTGTATTTTTCTATTTCTCTTTGTAGTTTTATCAGTTTTTACGGAATGACTTGTAAAACTCTGTTATTAGGTGCATAACCATTTAGAATTATTTTGTCCTCTAGATGAATTGACACCTTCGTCATGTTGAAATTTATCCTTGAATTACTCTGGAATTTATTTCTCTGATATTAATAGAACTATCCCTGCTTTCTTTTCATAGGTAATTTTTTGGTATATTTTTTCTTACCCTTTTACTTTCAACGTATTCATGCCTTTATATGTAAAGTCAGTTTTTAATTAGGACTTGCTTTTTATGCTATATGACAATTTCTGCCCTTTAGTTGGGGTATAGACAGCACATCATATAATTATTGATAAAGTTGGAATTACTTTTTTCTGTTGGTTTTAATTTGTCCTCCCTTTTTTTTTTTTTTTCTTTTCTGTTGGCCTTCCTTTGAATTAAATGAGTATTTTTCATAATTGCATTTCATTTCACTTGTTGCCACATTAGGTACAACTGTTTGTTGTGTTATGTTAGTGGTTACTTTTGGATTTGTATAATATGTAATTCATTCCTCACATTCTACATTCATGTTATATCATATCACTTTGCATGTAAGAATCCCAGGACAACATACTTCCATTTTTATCTTCCTATTCTTCGAACTAGTCTTACCATCAATATACCTATACATATGTTATAAATCAAATAATTATCTTTATTTTTAATTTTTTCTGAATACAGAAACACAAGTGGAAATAATTATCATTTTTGACTTAAAGAGTTCATTCTCTTTTTAAAAAGTAGGCTTATTCTTAAAGAAGTTTTAGGTTCACAGCAATATTAGCAGAAAATGCAGAGCTCCCACATACGTGCATAACTTCCTTCATTATTAACATCCCCTACATGGTAACATATTTCTTATTATTGATGAGCCTACATTGACACATTGTCGTTACCCAATATCCATAGCTTACATTAGGATTCACTGTACATTCTATGGATTTGACAAATATGTAATGACATAGATCCCCCAAACTAGCATCATACAGGATAGTTCACTGCCCTAAACAATCCTCTGTGCTCTGTCTCTTCATCCTTCCTTCCACACTACTCCCTTGCAACCACAGATGTTTATATTATCTCCATAGTTCTGCATTTTCCAGAATGTCGTATACTTGGAATCATACAATATATATCCTCTTCAGATTACCTTATTTTACTTAGTGATATGCATTTAAGACATTCCTCCATGTCTTTTCATGTCTTCATGGCTCATTTATTTTTACCACTGAATAATATTACATTGTCTGGATGTACCACAGTTTGTTAATCCACCTACTGAAGGAGATCTTGTTTGCTTCCAATTTTTAGCAATTATGAATAAACCTGCTGCAAACATTTATGTGTAGTTTTTCATGTGGACATAAGTTTTCAACTCATGTGGGTAAATACCAAGGAGCACAATTACTGGATCATATGACAAGAGTGTGTTTAGTTTGTGAGAAGCTGAAAACTGTCTTCTGAAGTGGCTATCACAGTTTGCATTCCCACCAGCAGTGAGTGAGAGTTCCTGTTGCTCCACATCCTCACCAGCATTTGGTGTTGTCAGAGTTTCAGATTTTTGCCATTCTAATCTCTTGTAATTGTATCTCACTGTCATTTTAATCTGCAAATCCCTAATGATGTATGATGTTGAACATCTTCTCATATGCTTATCTGCCATCAGTATATATTCTTTGATGAGATGTCTGTTCAGTTCTTTTGCCCAAATATTTTTGCCCAAATATATTTGCCCAAATATTTGGGCTGCGGTGGTTGTGGGGCTGATGAGAAACCACTGAAGTTCCTGGGGAAGCAAAGTAGAGTTTCATAAGAACAAAATGGATGGAGAGGAGAAAACCTGTGGTGGCTGTGAAGGCCCTGATGCGATGTATGTGAAATTGATATCATCTGATGGCCATGAATTTATTGTAAAAAGAGAACATGCATTAACATCAGGCACAATAAAAACCACATTGGGTGGCCCAGGTCAGTCTGCTGTGAATGAAACCAATGAGGTCAATTTTAGAGAGATACCTTCGCGTGTGCTATCAAAAGTATGCACGTATTTTATGTATAAGGTTCGCTACCCTAACAGCTCCACCGAGGTTCCAGAGCTCCCAATTGCACCTGAAATTGCACTAGAACTGTTAATGGATGTGAGCTTCCTAGATTGTGAAATAAAATAAATTATAATAAACTGTTAACTCTTTTCAGTATTTAATACCTGTAGTTCAGTTAGTAATTTTTTCATATATAGCATGTTGCCTGTATGCAGTTGAACTATATAAAGTTCATTGCAAAGGAGATTATCTTCTGTTTTTTGCATAGCAATCAAAGTTGAAGTTTGTTGCTACATCAACAAATTAAGGATATTTCCACAAACTGAGAAATAAAGATGCCAATTTGTAAAAAAAAAAATAATAATCATCATAAAGATAGTTATTTATATTTACCAATGTGATGACCAATTCTGGTTCTATGCATTTCTTTGTAAAGATCTATTATTTTCCTCTCAAATTATTTTCTTTTAGCTCTTCTATGTGTAACAAGTACTTATTTTATCTTTAACTCCAAATGATATATTTATTAGTTATGGAAATCTAGGCTGACATCTTTTTTTGTTTGTTTTAGTCATTTCAGTAATTTAGTTTTGTGGCTGTACTTTCTGGCATTGTTTCTGAAAAAAAAAGTCTGCTGTCATTCTGATCTTTGTTAGGTGAATCATTCAGATTTTCAATCTAGGAGATGATTGTTTTTATTAACTTTGGAAATTTGTGCACCATTTCTTCAAATATTTTTCCTAGGTCAGCCCTCTTATCCTCTTTCCTGACACATTCTATTTAAACTGCTTGAAGTTGTCTCACAGACAACGATGTTCTGTATATTTTTTAGTCTTTTTTTCTTTCTGTATTTTATTTTATACAGTTATGACAGCTATATCTTCAAATTACAAATCTTATCCACTATAATGTATGATATACTATTAATTGCCCCTAATAGTAATAATAACCATTTTAATGTCATTATCTACTTAAGACCTGTGTCTTTTTTTTTTTTTTTTTTTTTTTTTTTGAGACAGAGTCACTCTGTCACCTAGGCTGGAGTGCTGGTGGAGCTATCACAGCCACCACCTGGAGCTCCTGGGGTCGATTCTCAACCTCAACCTTCAGAGTATCTGGGACTACAGGCATCTGCCACCATACCTGGTTAATTTTTATTTTTTGTACAGATAGGGTCTCACTATGTTGCCCAGGCTGGTCTCAAAATCCTGGGCTCAAGTGATCCTCCCACCTCAGCCTACCAAAGCACTGGGATTACAGGAATGAACCACCATGGCCAGCCTCACCCTGTCCTTCCTGAGTTGGTTTTGATGGCCTAGTATTTCTGTTAATTATATTTTTCTGCTTAGTTGCATGTCTAGTACATTTTCATTGAATTTTACTGATTGTGTACTAGATATTTTTGTATTCTTATAAGTTTTCTTAAGCATTTTTGGCTGGGCGTGGTGGTTCATGCCTGTAATCCCAGCACTTTGGGAGGCTGAGGTGGGCGGATCACTTGAGGTCAGGAGTTCAAGGCCAGCCTGGCCAACATGGTGAAACCCCGTCTCTACTAAAAACACAAAAATTAGCCGGGCATGGTGGCACGCGCCTGTAGTCCCAGCTACTCATTAGGCTGAGGCAGGAGAATCACTTCAACCCAGGAGGCAGAGGTTGCAGTTAGCCGAGATAGTGCCACTCCACTACAGCCCCGGTGACAAAGCACAGCTCCGTCTCAAAATAAATATTCTTAAGCATTTTAGAGTGATTCAGTTTTACTGGGAAATTGATCCTTTTGAGACTTGCTTTTACAAGTTTGTTAAGTGGTACCAGAGCAGTGTTTAGTCTGAAGTTAACTTCCCCACCACCCAGACAAAGCTCTTCCAAGTGTTCTGTGCGATACTCTGAATTATGAAGTTTCTCACGTTAACTAGTGGGAAAAGGAACGATTACCAGCCATGACTAAGTCCCAGGGACTGCTCCTTCTTCTCTTTTTAATGATACTTTTTGCAGCCTCAGTACATGTGCCCAAATGTATGCATTGATCAGTACTCAGCTGAAGGCGTGAAGGAGATCAACTGCAGATCTTCACGTCTCTGTGCGTGCAGCATTACCATTCTTTCTTGTGAATTGTGGATATTTCCATAACCAGAATTTTTGCTTTATCTCAGAGAGCTCTGGGCTCTACAGTGCTTCCCCTTCTTATGTCATAACAAAAACTCTCCCTTGGCCATCAGCTGTGGAGACTGAAGACTCCTCTCATGAAGTTTTGTGTCTCTCATGAATCCTTGTCTTTCGTTGCCTGATGTCCAATTTTGTTAAAATATATTTTTTTAAACGCTTACATTTTATCTGTTTTTTTTTTTTTTCATTGTTTCTGGTGGGAACTTAAATTCTGGCCTGTTGAAAGTGTAAGTGTCTCCTTTTTAGTTTAAGAGCCAATTCATATTGTATTTCTGATATTCTACGGGAATTGTCTTGTTCAGGGTTTTACAGAGTTTGGACATTGATGGAAATAAAAAAAATAAAATTCTAAAAATGCAACACCTTTGCATTCAGATTGTAACAGCTGTAATTCAGTCACCTATTCTTTTTTAAACGAGCATTTATATGTGAGTGTAAAAATTATTTTAAGTAAAATTCATGTACTTGTTGTTTTTCTCTTTTTATATGTCACATTTTGAAAACAATAATTTATCAATAGGTCGGTGCAATAATAACAATTTTACTGAAGAATATATTAGTCGCCCTTCTTTTGTGGAGCAGTTTTGATGAAGTCCTCTCTCAAGACAAAGTCATGATTTTTGAAGCCTTTTCTGAGATCTTGTCCAGAGTGTAATATTAAAACGTGCCTTCATTGCTCATTTGTATCATCTTATACCACGTAAAATTTTTCTTTGCCATAACAACCCTAATATATTTTTAACTTATGTCTAGGTCTATGTGAAACAAATAATTCCAAAATTTTATTCTTTTAAACTACTAAAAATTCCCAATATTTATATTATTATGGGGACTTGTAATATATATATATATATATATATATATATATATATATATATATATATATATACACACACACACACACACACACACAGTAAAAATAGGGGAGAGTTCAGTAATTACAGTGTCAATGCCCCCAAATACATTCTAATAATTAAAAAGTAAAAGGCAAACCCAACCTTCTTTCCACTTAATAGATTCTCGATTAAAACAGAATAGCAATCAACTTTTATGAGCATTTTGATTACAAAGCTGCTTCACTTCTGACCAAATCAGCTTCACTGATTCATTATATTTTTCCTCTTTCTGGCCTGCCTGCCCTCCCTTACTCCTTCCCTCCCTTATTTCCTTCCTTCCTTCCTTCCTTCCCTCCCTCCCTCTCTCCCTGCCTTTCTTCTCTCCCTTCCCTCCCTTCTCATTCCTTCTCCTTCCTTCTCCTTCTCCTTCCTTCTCCTTCTTTCTCCTTCTCCTTCCTTCTCCTTCTCCTTCCTTCCTTCCTTAATTCCTTCTTTCCTTCCTTCCTTCCTTCTGCTTGCTTTCATAATATTATTTGGGGAGCACTGGAATAATAGCATTGAGTTATCACGAGCGCTCATGATAAAGTGGTACGTAGTACATTTGCGTTCTAACATAAATACAAGTAGTATGAAACCTTCAGAGACTTAGTTGAGATGCTTTGTTCCTCTTTGCTTCAACTGACAGTGCAAGGAACAATTTTAGATTTCTGCAGGTTTATGTCTCACAAACATGTACACAGTGAACAAAATTTAAAGCAATTCTTTAGATAACTGAGACCTTAAAATGCCTACTTCCATCTGACATTTCAAGATAATTTTTTTTAACTTGTAAAAATTGATTTTGCTTAAATTATCTAGATACATGCCTCATCTGCACTCTGCTTTTTGCCCACAAATATATCTTATTTATTTCTCAGGTCTTTTTTCACTGCAGTCAGGTTAAAGTTTTTGAATTGATTTGATTGATGACCTCACATCTATCTTTACATATTTACATCCAACCAATTATCAGATGCTAAAATGAACTTTGACAAATAAGAAAACTTTTCTCTCTTGAATAGTGGCTGAGCTGTAACAGACTTGTGAATTTAATCAACCTTAAAATTAGTATGAGCATGTGTGTGTGTGTGTGTGTGTGTGTGTGTGCACGTGTTGATATATCTATTTAGAGAGTCTCCGGTCTCATACTTTTCTCAGATTTTCATCCACCAAGCAGCTTTGTGAAACAGATGCTGTTTATCATGTCTTTGCCTTCTCCAAGTTGATGTTAATTTTAGAAGTCAATGAGAAACATGGAAAGCTTAAATTCTTCGTCAAATTAAATGTGGCAAAGAAGACATCAGAATGTTACAAGAGTCTATTGGAAATATATCTGCTCATTGGTTCTTGTATAGTCTTCTTTCTGCAGAGATCTATATTTATGCATGTTCCTTGTTTGCTTCCTTAGAAATCTATAAATTATATCTATATCTGTCAGTCTGACAAATGTATTACCTTATACACCCATGGAGAATTTTATCAGGATAATTTTAATGGCCTGTAGCTATTGAACACAGCTGGTGACAAATCATTTCTTCTGTTATTGACCACAGCATTAAAACCATTTTCAAAACAGTATTCAAGAAAGCCAGAAAATTGGGTACATTGTGTATCTTCTATTGAAATAAGATACTGTTTGTAAACAAAAATGTACATGTTCTTATCTTTATAACTGAATTTAAATTTCAGTTAATTAATAAATGCTTTATTATTATGTTTGACTCTGAAGAAATCTTTAAATTTAAGCTTTGAAAAAAAGACATTATAAAATTATATCACTCAGGGGAATGAAAAGGTTAAATAACTCTTATTCCTAACTTTTCACATTCAAAGTGCAACTATAATTTCAAAGTTTTTCAGAATTTTAATCTCTACTGTGTGTCTAGTACTTTAATATGTAATTTAATCTTCACCAAAAAAACTTCATGAAGTAGGTAATCTACTCATGATCGATTCTATCTATCACTATTTTACTGATTAGAAAACTGAGTCTTGAATACAGTGAGTATATTGACCAAAATGTATACAGTTGGCAAATGTCAACTAGGACCTTTCTACTAACAAAGTTTTTTTTGGTTTTGTTTTAATTAGGCAATATGCACTCAGTTATATAATAGAGGATGATTATATAAATGGAACTCTGATTTGGTAAATTGTTTTTAAAAACTAGGGATTCAAAAATTCCTAGAGTATCTATTTTCTTTCTCCTCTTCCCTTTTCTGCTCTGTAGTATTTAGTGGTGTATCATTCTAAGAAAATAAAACTAATATACAAGTTCATAATAATGTTCTTCAAGCACCCTATGTAGCAAAAGCCATAAACCCAATTTATTTCAGAGTAGTTTTCAGATCACTATGTTTGAGAAATTGCTGTGTAATTTCAGAATCAACAGCTAACAGACTTGGCTTATAGGTTTTATTTTTTTCTTATGAGAAGAAATATCATTTAATGTCCACCATCAATTGTAACATTGCACTGAGGTTTTAGTAAAATAATTTGCTTTTACTTTCTATTATAGTCTTTAGAGTGCTTTAATTGGAATCCCATTATTATCTTTTCATTGAATTTCAGTCCAAGGTAGATCATAAAGGCAGCTAACTGCATTAATAAGAAGTACTTTTACTATTTCAAAAGTAAAAATATTTCACTATTTTTGTGTCTTGAATATGAAGATTAGGTATTCTTATAAGAAAAGAAAAAAAATACTGAGTGACTTCTTTAATCTTTTTCAATCTTATGACTAATTCTTTCTTTTTTAATTAAATATTCTTCTTAGGATTAATAATTCCCTTAAAATAATAAAATAATTATAAAATGTATTTGCTCAGGCCTATCGTATTCTGCAATTTCCAACATTACAAATTTTTTTATTCATTCATTCATCCATAAAATATTATTTAAAACCTACTCTGTGCCACCTCTTTTGCTAGAATCTAAGAATAAAATGGTAGAACAAAACAGTGTATTGGCCTGGAAGTTATTAAACAAATAATCATAAAAATGTATTATGATAAATTATGTTAAGTGCTTTGAAGAAAATGTGCAGGAACTTCTAGGAACATGTGTTAAAGAGACCTGACCTGGGGTGGTGAAGTGAGGAAGTTGGGATAGGAAGTCTTCTCTGAAAAAATAATGTTAAAACAGATTTTTTTAAAGGAATGTGTAATAATTAGGCAGAGAAGAAGGGATACAATAAACTAAAAAGCTTTTGCACAGCAAAAGTAGCTATCAGCAGAGTAAACATACAACCCACAGAGTGGGAGAAAATCTTCACAATCTACACATGTGACAAATGACTGATATCCAGAATCTGCAACAAACTCAAACAAATTAGCAAGAAAAAAACAATCCCATCAAAAAGTGGGCTAAGGACATGAATAGACAATTCTCAGAAGAAGATATACAAATGGCAAACAAACATACAAAAAAATGCTCAACATAGCAAATGATCAGGGAAATTCAAATCAAAACCACAATGCAATACAACCTTACTTCTGGAAGAATGGCCATAATCAAAAAAATTAAAAAATAATCAATGGTGTGGATGTAGTGAAAAGGAAACACTTCTACAGTGCTGGTCGAATGTAAACTAGTATAACCACTATAAAAAACCAGCGTAGAGATTCCTTAAAGAACTAAAAGTAGAACTACTGTTTGATCCAGCACTTCCACTACTGGGTATCTACCCAGAGGAAAAGCAGTCATTATACGAAAAAGATACTTGCACATGCATGTTTACAGTAACACAATTTGCAATTGCAAAAATGTGGAACCAGCCCAAATGTCCATCAATCAACGAGTAGATAAAGAAACTGTGCTACGTGTGTGTGTATGTATGTGTGTGTATATATACATATATACATATATATATAATATATATATTATATATACATATATACATATATATATATTATATATATATATATATAAATAAATACTACTCAGCTATTGAAAGAATTAATGGCATTTGCAGCAACCTGAATGGGATTGGAGACTATTATTCTAAGTGAAGTAACTCAAGAATGGAAAACCAAACATCATATGTTCTACTCCTAAGTGGGAGCTAAGCTATGAGGATGCAAAGGCATAAGAATGATACCATGGATTTGGGGACTCGGGGAAAGGGTGGGAAGAGCGTGAGGGATAAAAGACTACAAATTGGGTTCAGCGTATACTGCTTGGGTGATGGATGCACCAAAATCTCACAAATCACCCCTAAAGAACTTACTGGTGTAATAAATACCACCTGTTCCCCAAAACCCTATGGAAATAAAAAAATTAAAAAAAATACACAAACAGAAGACCCTGAAGTGAGGAAGAGCATTGCTGGCTTAGAGAGAAAAACATGCAATAAGCCAAGAGAGTAGTTACAGGAGAGACTGCACAGGGCCTGGGGACCATTCTGTTTTGGAGTCTCTACCCCATGAGCACTGGGAAATCACTGAAGGATTATACCTAACTGATATTAAATATTTAGACATGATTGTATATCTAGAAAACCCCATTGTCTCAGCCCAAAATCTCCTTAAGCTGATAAGCAACTTCAGCAAAGTCTCAGGATACAAAATCAATGTACAAAAATCACAAGCTTTCTTATACACCAATAACAGACAAACAGAGAGCCAAATCATGAGTGAACTCCCATTCACAATTGCTTCAAAGAGAATAAAATACTTAGGAATCCAACTTACAAGGGATGTGAAGGACCTCTTCAAGGAGAACTACAAACCACTGCTCAATGAAATAAAAGAGAATACAAACAAATGGAAGAACATTCCATGCTCATGGGTAGGAAGAATCAATATCGTGAAAATGGCCATACTGCCCAAGGTAATTTATAGATTCAATGCCATCCCCATCAGGCTACCAATGACTTTCTTCACAGAATTGGAAAAAACTACTTTAAAGTTCATATGGAACCAAAAAAGAGCCCGCATCGCCAAGTCAATCCTAAGCCAAAAGAACAAAGCTGGAGGCATCACGCTACCTGACTTCAAACTATACTACAAGTTTACAGTAACCAAAACAGCATGGTACTGGTACCAAAACAGAGATATAGACCAATGGAACAGAACAGAGCCCTCAGAAATAATGCCGCATATCTACAACTATCTGATCTTTGACAAACCTGAGAAAAACAAGCAATGGGGAAAGGATTCCCTATTTAATAAATGGTGCTGGGAAAACTGGCTAGCCATATGTAGAAAGCTGAAACTGGATCCCTTCCTTATACCTTATACAAAAATTAATTCAAGATGGATTAAGGACTTAAACGTTAGACCTAAAACCATAAAAACCCTAGAAGAAAACCTAGGCATTACCATTCAGGACATAAGCATAGGCAAGGACTTCATGTCCAAAACACCAAAAGCAATGTCAACAAAAGCCAAAATTGACAAATGGGATCTAATTAAACTAAAGAGCTTCTGCACAGCAAAAGAAACTACCTCAGAGTGAACAGGCAACCTACAAAATGGGAGAAAATTTTCGCAACCTACTCATCTGACAAAGGGATAATATCCAGAATCTACAATGAACTCAAACAAATTTACAAGAAAAAACAAACAACCCCATCAAAAAGTGGGCAAAGGATATGAACAGACACTTCTCAAAAGAAGACATTTATACAGCCAAAAAACACATGAAAAAAATGCTCATCATCACTGGCCATCAGAGAAATGCAAATCAAAACCACAATGAGATACCATCTCACACCAGTTAGAATGGCAATCATTAAAAAGTCAGGAAACAACAGGTGCTGGAGAGGATGTGGAGAAATAGGAACACTTTTCCACTGTTGGTGGGACTGTCAACTAGTTCAACCATTGTGGAAGTCAGTGTGGCGATTCCTCAGGGATCTAGAACTAGAAATACCATTTGACCCAGCCATCCCATTACTGGGTATATGCCCAAAGGACTATAAATCATGCTGCTATAAAGACACATGCACACATACGTTTATTGTGGCACTATTCACAATAGCAAAGACTTGGAACCAAGCCAAATGTCCAACAATGATAGACTGGATTAAGAAAATGTGGCACATATACACCATGGAATACTATGCAATATAATATGTTATGCAATATAATACTATGGAATATAAAAAATGATGAGTTCATGTCCTTTGTAGGGACATGGATGAAACTGGAAATCATCATTCTCAGTAAACTATTGCAAGGACAAAAAACCAAACACCGCATGTTCTCACTCATAGATGGGAATTGAACAATGAGAACACATGGACACAGGAAGGGGAACATCACACTCTGGGGACTGTTGTGGGTTGGGGGGAGGGGGGAGGGATAGCATTAGGAGATATACCTAACGCTAAATGACGAGTTAATGGGTACAGCACACCAGCATGGCACGTGTATACATATGTAACTAACCGGCACATTGTGCACATGTACCCTAAAACTTAAAGTATAATAATAATAATAATAAAAAAGAAAGAAGCATGAATCCTTAAAATAAATAAATAAATAAATATTTAGACATTTCTTTCTTATAAGGAGAACTTCCTCACAAGCTAGAAGAAGAAACACTCCCTTTGGCTGTAAATTTTAAAGTTGAACATTATAGACTGTATATCCATTTTGGAGTACAATGCTATCTTTCTATAAGGAAATAATAGTTTAGGATGCCCAAAAAGACCAATTACAATATTCATTGTTTGCTAGCATATGGCTTGGTAAGTCTTTACCAAGAGCAATCAGAATTTATCATAGAGCAATCCAAATTGCTCCATGATGGCTATTGAACACACACATTCTAAACTAAATTCTCTATAGATAATCCATTGACTTTGTTCACCATTACCTTGGGAAATCTGACATTCAGGGAAGTTAGATGGAGAGGCTGATTCTATTCTGAAAGTGTAAGTGTTGAGAATCTGCTGTCTGCAAATACTTAGGCTTTTTCTTCCTCTTCCTTTCCCAGTTGTCTTCTATTTCTTTAACATGTCTTCAAATCATGTTTTCCTTGTTCTTTCCTTTTTATGTTATATTATCTCTATGTTTCTCTATATTTTGGTATGATTTTTACTTCTTGTTTCACTATCTTCTCACTGTAAGTATACTTTTATCAAAATATCATTAATACATGCAAATGTAATGGTAAAGATATGTTAAAATGTCATTTAGCACCAAAATGTTACAATAAAAAACAAATCAGTCCCTTATTTTCACTTTTCTATCTCATCTTTCCATTCCCCAGATACAAGAACTTTTGACCATTTAAGTGTTCTCTGGGGGAAATAAACCTGCTAAATATATAAGTAATACAAATATTATAATCAATATTTAATAACTTCCAACATAATTCCTATTGCAAATAAGGATGTTAAGCAACCTATTCTGTTTTGTTTCTGTATTATACTACTTACATAATTATAACTTTTAAGTGTAATAAATACTTGCTTCATACATTTGCTTATTTTTAGTTAGTTACTAAAACTTTTCACGTATTTTGATGGTTTTGTCAAATACCTGTCAATAAAATTTTCCATAATATAAAACATCAGGTAGGAGTTTTTTAAAAGTTTGTTTTGGTTGTTTACCACAGCCTTCCCGTGTAGAGCTATGCAACTTCCTGATCCATTCCAGATGGCTACTTTATGGTATTATTACATGTTTTTCACCCCCCACCACCCCGGGAATTTCCTCTGTGGTCATATAGAAGCTGACTTCACCTAGCATCTATATTGGATTCCAGATTTCTGAGGCACATATGTTTCTTTGTCTTGGCTTACTCCTTTTTATTTTTAATGTGGTTGCTTTCTGAACAAAGAGTGCAAGTGAGATGAAGTGTTTGAGACTCAAAGTTAGAAAATACAGTTTTTGCTATTGTCACAGTTGATTGATAGTTTTGCTAGGTATAGAAGCCTAGGTTTAAGATTATTTCCTTTCACTCAAAAATAAAGCATTAATTTCAAGAGAAATTAAAGCATTGTACATTATCTTCTGCCTGCCAGTGTTCTAGTTTAAAAGCTCCATGCCTATTTTGTGGCTGATTCTATTCACAAAGCCTTTTTTATCACCTTTAGATGGTTTTGGGACTTTTATTATGGTTTTCTGATATATCCTGATGATATGCTTGGAAGTAAGCTTTTTGACTTTTTCTTTTTAAAATATTACAAAGTAATAGTTGCCAGTCAAATAGCAATAAAAGACTATAAACTCATCTCTCCCTTTCTCATTACTCATAGGTGGCTATTTTCTTTTGACATTAACTTCAGTATTTCTAAATAATAGGTATGCAATCATGTCTCTTGATCTCTATGATTTTCAATTTTAGAATACATGCGCTAATTTTTCATTATTTTCTCCTATTTTCTGTGAACATTTTTAAAACTTCTATTAAGCAAATGTTAAACCTTTCATATTGATTCCCTATTTTTCTATTTTTCCCCTATGGTTCTTCATTTGTTTGTTTTCTTCTACATTTCAGAAGAAGAATTTATTTACTATGTCTTACAACCTGGCCTTACTACCATATTTAGTTTGTTCTTAAATTATTATTCCTTTTGGCTGGGCATGGCGGTCTATGCCTATAATCCCAGCACTTTGAGAGGCCGAGGTGGGTGGATCATTTGATGTCAGGAGTTTGAGACCAGCCTGACCAACTTGGTGAAACCCTATCTCTACTAAAAATACAAAAAATTAGCCGGGCATGGTGGCAGGCACCTGTAGTCCCGCTAAGCAGGAGGCTGAGGCAGGAGAATTGCCTGAACCAGGAGGGTGGAGGTTGCAGTGAGCCGGGATTGCACCACTGGCATTCCAGCTTGGGCCACAGAGTGAGAGTCTACCTCAAAAAAAAAAAAAAAAAAAAATCCTTTTAAGATTTATTCTGCTTATTGGAGTTCCTTTATTCTGGAATTTTCCTTTTTAGGTGTTGCGGATTTGAAGCATTCCTTAAATGTTTCATGGCCACCATTTAGTATTTAAGACTGAAAATTTTCTATTTCCAGCAGTGACATTTTTGTTTGAGATATAAGTAGGAACTTGAGGTGTTTACTGCTATAAGTACAGACTTTCATTTTCCTCTTTTGAGTCCCTAATTCACCTCACTGCATTCCACTTTTTCAGTTTCTGGAGCATTTCTGGCTGGTTTCAGAGGTAATAGGTTTGTTTCTACTTCTTTGGAATCTTTAATCTATGGACACATAGCTCTAACTTCTATTAATACACACACGTATTAGCAACCCATATTCATTTTCACTCCTTTTACGTCTTCTTCTTAGCTACCAAAGGCTAGAAGCCAGCTGGGAACTTCATGTTTCAGAATTCTTTAGGAGTAGTGTTCTAATTTCGATTCTACCAATAAAAGCCACATGTTTAAGGTTTGGAAGTAGAGAAAAAAATTACCTTTGCAGGTACATGTGTTTTGCATATCACAGACATGAAATTTAGCAGGTAGTTTCCTGGTATTCTATTACAATCCTCCACTTTTGTGCTGAAGTCAGTTGATTCCCGATTTTCTCTCATTCCTGCAATTTTCCGATTTCCTAAAAGGTAGTAATGACTTTCTCTGATCTTCACTTCCTATACTTTTAAACATTTTGTGACTCCCAATTATCTCTATTTAATCTTTCCCTGCTTCAAAAATAGAAATGTGCCCGGGGGTGCGAAGTCATTTCTCTGTTATTCACCCGCCTTTTCATGTCATACACTCTGCTTCATTAAAAAAAAAAAATCTAATTTCATCAAATACTGAGTTCATTTATCTGGTTCTCAAACTTTTAAAAGTTATTTCTTTTTTTCATTTTAATCTGACACTTTTATTAATTTTTTGGATATTTTATTATAAATTTTTTTATTTTTTACTTTAAATTCTGGGATACATGTGCAGAATGTGCAGGTTTGTTACATAGGTAAACATGTGCCAGGGTGGTTTGCTGCACCCATCAACCTGTCATCTAGGTTTTAAGCCCTGCACACATTAGGTGTCTTTCCTAATGCTCTCCCTCCCCTTCCCCCAACCATCAACAGGCCCAGTGTGTGATGTTCCCCTCCCTGTGTCCATGTGTTCTCATTGTTCAACTTCCACTGATGTGGTGTTTGGTTTTCTGTTCCTGTGTTAGTTTGCTGAGAATGATGATTTCCAGTTTCATCCATGTCCCTACAAAGGACACGAACTCATCCTTTTTTATGGATGTATAGTATTCCATGGTGTATATGTGCCACGTTTTCTTTATCCAGTCTATCATTGATAGGCATTTGGGTTGGTTCCAAGTCTTTGCTATTGTAAATAGTGCTGCAACAGACAAACGTGTGCATGTCTTTATAGTAGAATGATTTATAATCCTTTGGGTATATACCTACTAATGGGATTGCTGGGTCAAGTGGTATTTCTGGTTCTAGATCCTTGAGGAATCGCCACACTGTCTTTCACAACAGTTGAACTAATTTACCCTCCCACCAACAACGTAAAAGCGTTCCTATTTCTTTTAGCAATTATTTATTTATTCAAGGAATAACTGAATACCACATTTAAGCCAATTCAGGGTGCATATAAAAAGGTGTTAAACCCTTCAAGCACTTATTGTAGTGATTAAGCCTCACATGGAATAAATAGTTAAAGTAGTCATTCAAGTAACAATTTCAATAAATATCAAATAAATATATGGAAAATAGAGAAGTCAGTATATTCAATATGACATGGAGAGGAAATTGCAGGGGGAAGGGAAGACTCAAAATGGACCCTTGATAAAAGTGCTTTTGGGAAAGGTAGAGAGAAGGAGGGGCAAGAGAAAGATGGAAAAGAATATACTTGCAAAGCCTTGGAACTAGAAATAATGGTAGCAACTTAGAAGCAGTAAGAATGAAACGGCATGAAGTGTAAATGATAAATCAGTTAGATTTATGAGCACAAGGTTACTAATGGCCTCAGAAACCAGGCCAACATCATTTTTATAAGAAATGGGAGTGGAGAATTATCAATCAGAGAAGATGGCATGATTACACTGTATTTTGAGACAACCAGTTTAGCCTTTGATTTAGCTGGCATGAATGCTATGAGCCTCCAAGTTGCCAGTTGAATTTAAAGGGGATTAAGCTCTACAGCCAAGGGAGGCTCATTATTAGTAAGGTGGTGACAGGTACCCAGAATGCCAAGGGTGCAATTATAGAAAATAAAATGTGCACTAGGAAGGTGAGCAAAAAGCAGACGAAAAACAATGACATTTGTCTTTGTCAAATGATGTATCCAGAAAGTCCATAGAACTTCAGGTATTGGAGTCTGAGAGCTTTCATAACTTTTGTTCTTGATTCCATAGTAGAAACTAAAATGCTGGTTGTTGTGATACAGTCTTTTAAACATGAGTAGCTCTATCTCTATTTCTTCTGTCTTTAAAGATTCTTAGCCAGTCTCTATGAAATCTATCATTGTCAACACCATATTTACCAGCACAAAAGATTGAAGGCACAGACAGTCTGAGCTACAACCCTGTTAAGACTCAGATAGAAATTAAAAGTGGAAAGGGATATATCGAAGATATATCAACAATTCTGAGCCTAGATAAGAATGAAAGAAAAATTCAGATTGGAGCTACCAGCTCACTGAAGAATAAGGTCATCTAGTTTTAAACATGTTTACTTGGAGATTTTAAAAGTCTTTTAAAACAGAAAATCTTTTAAAAACTATTTTTAAAATTTATTTTAAATTTTTAAGTGACACATTATAATTGAACATTTTATGGGGTATGCTTTGAGGTTTTAACACATATATGTTGTATAATATCACATCAGGTCATTAGCATCACCTCATGCATTTATCATTTCTTTGCAGTGAGAACATTCAAACGCTCTCTTCTGGCTATTTTGTAATATATATTACCTTACTGTTAACATTAGACACCGCCTGTGCAATAGAACACCAAAGCACCCTATTACTCCTAATTGTAACTTGTACCCATTAACCAGTCTCTCCCCATTCTTCCCTTCCCAGTCTCTACTAACCACAGCTCTATTCTCTGCTTCTATTATATGAATGTTTTCATTTTACCTTAGATTCCCCATATAAGTGAGATTGTGCAGTATTTATCGTTCAGTGTCTGTTTTTTTCATTTTATATGATGTCCTCCTGGTCCATCCATGTCATTGCAAATGAAATGCTTTTATCCTTTTTTATGGCTGAATAGTTTTTCATTGTGTATATATACTACATTATTAAAAATCTGTTCATCTGCTGTTGGCCACTTTGATTCTGTATCTTGGCTATTGTAAATGGTGTTGTAATAAACATAGAAGTATAGATATCTCTTTGATACATTGTTTTCATTTTTTCTGGATTTGTACCCAGGAGTGGGATTGCTGGATTATATGGTAGTTCTATTTCTAATTTCTTTTTTAAGAGACAGGGTCTCACCCTGTTGCCCAGGCTAAAATGCAGTAACATGATCATAGTTCACCGTAACCTTGAACTCCTGGGCTCATGTGATACTCCCACCTCAGCCTCCCAAGTATTACAGCTGAGAATACAAGCACACACCACCATACCTGGCTAATTATTATTATTTTCATTATTATTTTTTGTAGAGACAGGGTCTTGGTTTTTATTTATTCAGTCAAATTTTTTAATTTTTTTTGTAGAGACAGGGTCTTCTTATATTGCCCATGCTGGTCTCAAACTCTTGGCTTCAAACAATCCTCCAGCCTCAGCTTTCCAAAGCACTGGGATGAGAGGAGTGAGCCACCGTGCTCGGTCCTGTTTCTAATTTGTTGAGGAATTTTCATGTTTTTCAAAATTGTTCTATTAATTTCCAATCCCAGCAAAAGTGTGTAAGTGTTCCCTTCTCTACACATCGTTGCCAGCACTTGTTTTCCTTTGTCTTTTTGATAGCAGCCATTCTAACTGGAGTGAGATGTTTCATCATTTTGGTTTTGGTTTTGATTTTCCTGATGATTAGCAACGTTGAGCAGTTTAAAAATACACCTGGCAGCCATTTGCATGTCTTCTTTTGAGAAATGTCTGTTAAGACCTTTTGCCCATTTTTAAATCAGGCTATTTATTTATTTTTTATTTATTTTTGCTAAGTTTCTTATGTGTTCTGGAGATATACCTATATATTTATTTTGAGACAGTGTCTTGTTCTGTCACTCAGGCTATAGTACAGTGGTGCAATCATAGCTTACTGCAGCCTCAAATTCCTGGGCTCAAGCAATCCTCCTGTCTGAGCATTTCAAGTAGCTGGGACTACAGGCGCTTGCTGCTGTGTTCAGTGATCTTTCAGTCTTCATTTTTTGTAGAGATGGAGTACTGATTTGTTGTCTGAACTGGTCTCGAACTCCTGGACTCAAGAAATCTTCCAATCCCAGCCTCCTAAAGTGCTGAGATTATAGGTGTGAGCCACTACACCCAGCCTCTAGGTTTTTCATACTTGTTCATTACACATTTTGACCTTGGTTAGTTATAGTATCTTTGTTGGTGTTGGTGATTATTTGTAAATTATGTCAAACCAAAATTTAATTTATTTGCTGTCTGGCAACTCACAATACTTTACTTCTTCAAAAGCTTTTGTTAACTTATTTCCCTCATCTTGTCCTTTCATATTATGATCTCTTTCCTCACCTGGACCCAATTCTTGGGAGCAATCATATAAACAGAGTTCCAGAATTAGGAGAAAGAAATTAGTGTATGATGGTGTCATAGAACCGGGAATAACAGCATATAGCCTGCTATTCACAATACATGCATACCTGTACATGTATATCCATGTATGCATGCATGCCTATATATAAACACATACATATATATGTACCTCTCATATATATGTATGCATATAGGGGTGTTTTTATTTGTGTGTGTGTATAGATAGATAGGTAGGTAGATGGATGGATGGATGGATGGATGGATGGATGAATGGGTGGTAGGGAGGCTTTATGTCAATGTTTCTGTTTCTAAATCATCTAATCTAAAATAGTGTGCATTTGAGAAAGAGCCTAAGTGATTTTCAGGGACACAGAGTAATAAGATTAGATCACAGTCTCAATTCTGCTACTGACTGGTATCCAATGCTTTTTCAACTAGACAAAGAATTCTGAGAAGCTGTCTGATCAGACCTGTTGGGTGGCACGATATGCCCCAGGAGGGTTTTTCACTAGAATAAATTTTAATAGAAAATTGACTTAACCAGAAATCTGCCTCCCAATATAGACATAAAGTCAAATATCTAAAACTTCTGAGGAAGAGCCGCCCCTCTTACTCCTACACTAGCAAAGAAACTTCTGCATGAAAAAAGGAGACTCCAGTTCAGGACGTTTTGTTTTATAGAAGCATATCACGTCTATAATTTATCTTGATCTCAGTTGTAAAACAGGTTTGGGTTTTCTCGTGTTTTGTTTCCCTTTTTCTTCTTCCACCTTTGCATTTGCTTCCATATTTTTGGTTACTTTGGCATTTACTAAGAGTGAATCACTTAGGCTGTTTCTCAAACACACACTATTTTAGATTAGATGATTTAGTAACAGGAACATTGACATAAAGCCTTCCTATCCATCTATCTTTCTATGTATGTATGTATGTATGTATCTATGTATCTATATATGTGTGTATGTGTGTATCTATCATCTATCTTGGTATCTATACACACATATACACATATATAAAAACACACTGATATGCACATTTAATGGATGTCTCTATGATCATAGGAGAAGCTGTGATATTCACGTCAAACCCACTGTTTGCCAGACTGGGGTGATTCATCAAAGTGTCAAAATAGTGTAGGGAGAAATAAAAACACAGCCTATGTAAGCTGGTAGCTCTAAACATCAAATTTCCACCCAACCCACAAACCCTACCCAGAAAAAACTTCAAAAGGGTTTTGCTTAAGATGTTCCCCCGCCCCCTTCAGGCAGTGTACCCTTAATGATACTGTATTGATTTTGTAATGTTTAATTTAAAAGGGCAGTCAGGCTAGTACATAATCTTGTGTTGAATAAGACAGGGTCATTTATGTGGCAGTGCACCAGATGAAATGTAAAAGTACCAATTGACTAACAAGTACATAATTCAAGCCAAATCACATTAGGAGTGTTTGTGTAGACTTAAACAAAAAGCATACCAAGGGACGGTGGTGCATCTCTCCCTGGAAATCAAACTTGCACAAATGATATGGAGTTCTTAGAGTTGGGATTAAGAACTGACCCACTGTGGGAATTCACTCTTGCCTCCTGACCAGTGGTAGGGACTACCCTCCCATGCTTTCTGGTTCTGTAATAGTCAATTTTTAAATTTGGAAAAGGCAATAATAATTAGCCTGTATCATAGACTAATTCTGAGTGTTCATGAAACAGTACACAAAGTCCTTAGCATGCTGCCTGACATATTACAAATTTAATAGATGACTTTCATTCTTGTTCTTCTCCCTTATTCATTCATCCAGCAGATAATTGCTGAGTGTTTACTTACTGCTAGGTGCTGGGTGCCAGGCAAACAATAGATAAAGTTCATGTTCTAGGTGGGAGAAGGGTCAGGGCAATAAACAAGGATATTTATATGTATAATTGTATACATACATAAATTATATATAAATTATAAATCATATATAGTTATATATAAATTATAAATCATATATAACTATAATTATTATACATATAACTATAATTATTATACATATAACACATGTAAAATTATATGTATGTATAATTATATGTTATGTAATATAGTACACATATAATATACACATATATGTATACATATGTAATAGGTATAATATACATATATTATATATGTGTATATATATACATATATATACACATATATAATATATGTATAGGTATATACATATATATACATATATATGTATATAGGTATAATATACATATATACATATATACATATATGTATTATATATAATATATAATATATGTATAATAAAAATATATGTAGTATATATAATATAATATATTATGTATAATAATGTATATGTAATTGTATATAATATGTAGTATATATAATACTATATATACTATTATATACTATAATGATATATACTATATAATATTTGTAATTTAAATTTATATATAATTATAACTATATATGTATAATACATACACATATAATGTATCATATATAGTTATAATTATATATAAATTTATATTACAAATATTATAAATAATATATAATTATATATCTATACTATATAGTTTATGTATGCTATACATATATTATATGTATTATATATTATATATGTATATTATAATATATGTATTATATATAAATATAGCTATAATATATAAATTTGTAGTGTTACAAATTTATATAGTATATATTATATATTAATAATTGTACATAATTACGTTATTTATATATAATATCTATCTTTGTATCTATGTATCTTTTATATTTATATATATAATTATAATTGTTTATTGCCCCTGCCCTGACTATATGTATATATAGCCAGGTGGTAAAAATGCCATAACAACAACAAAAACACTAAGCCAATACGAAGGAATCGGTGTGCTGGGTGATGGTAGGAGGAGTACGCTGCTACTTTGATAGGGTGGTTAGACAAGTCCTCTCTATGGTGGTGACCTGTGGACAGAAACCTGATAAGTAGGAGAGAGCAAGCCCTGTGGATGTCTGAGGAAAAGCAGTTCAGGCCGACAGGGAAGTAGGTGTAAGGCCCTGAGGCTGGAAAGTGCTTTCTTTCTTAGAGTTCAAGTCAAAGTCACATATAAGACAAAATGAAGAAATAATGAGAGGGAAAGGAGAAATTGAAGGATTTTGTTGTTAGAGGAGAAATGGAATTCAAAAGTAGCTATACTATACTCAGCACTTACTATATATGCTCACTTGTTTCAAAATAGGTGCTCAGTAAATGTTTGTTGAGTGGATTTACAAGCAGTTACAATGTATTGCTACAGTTGATTGCTGTAGATACAGTTCTAAACACATTGTATGTGATATCACATGTAATCTCCACTATATAGATTAGTAAGCAACAGTCATATCATCAGTAAAATGTTAAGATAAATTATTAAAGATAGATTGTGAATATTTATGAAATAGCCAACAGTCTAAGAGTGTGTTTATTTACAGGAATACAAGCATTTCTTTCTATTGTTGATAGTCCCTAAATAATCAAGTCTTGGAATTGCAGATGATATTATAATTTCAGGTTGCATAAGAGTCTCATATTATCCTACCTCCATAAGCTGAACAAGTCAGGACATTTTTTACCTAATGAACAAGTTGAAATAGAGCTACTTCAAAAAAAAAATGCATGGAATCAGATTCCACAAATCTAAAATGAAATTCTCTCCTTTCTCTCTAAGCACTTTCCCTCTTCAGCTTTTGTAATTTGTGAAATAAAAAGGAAGGGGTCCCTTATATTTCAGGTGCCCAGAATCAACACTGTAATGTTTAAAACTCTTCCTTCTTCTTTATTCCCGTGGAAGTCCCAGCACACCCAGTGCTTGGGTCCTCCCAGTCATGCCCCAAACTATCTCTTTGAGCTGGCCTTTCCTCGCCACATTGAGGTGTCTATGTTTTACTTAGCCCTTTAAGACCATTTCTATTTTGACCTTGTAAACCATCACACTTGTGACCTCAGAGAGCAAACTAGTTCTAACTCACTAGTAATCTAGTCAATAAAGATAACAGTTTCCAGTTTTCTATTGAGTTGTATCTAAACTCTTTGTTCACCCATTTCTCAATCAGGAAGCTATGCTAATTTTGTAACTGGCATGGTTCAAGGTTCAGATGTAGGTGCAAAGATAAAGGTTTTATACAAAGTTATGACAGAAAGAACTTTGATTCTCAGACTTATAACTAATAGCAGGATGAATATTCAATAGATATAGTAAGAGATTTAGCTGAATGAGAAGTTAGGATGCTCTTGGAAAAGTTCTGGTATCAAGTGATATTTTCTGATTTAATAACCACATAATAAGCACATTTTACGTGCCTCAGAATTTACCTGCTACAGCTTTGGTAGGTTCCAATAGGCAAGTGTGGGGTTCTTGCCTTGGAATTTACATTTTGCCACAACACCGATCACGATATGAAGCTTACCCTATGCACCCAGTAAATAGATAGTTGTGGCTCTGTTGCTAGTTGAGTTTGTCACCTTGAGGAAATATATTGAGCTCTTGCACATTTTTTGGATTAGATCTTCTCTAAATTTTCATGTAGCTCTTAAAGTCCATGGTCAAACTTGAGTTAGATAATCAGAAAATTTCCCTGCATGCTGAATATGTTTCCTTAAGGATTGTTCATAAGATCAAACATTAAGTATCCAGTAATAGAAGATTGGTTAAATAAATTACGGCATATTATTATGATGGAATAACATGTTATTTTTAGTGACTGTAAATCTATTAGTACCTATTAACCATCATTCATTGTTGAATACAAAAACAGCTTGTATTCTCTGTGTTACATATATTATATATTTAAAAACAGTTAATCATACATAGTATTACCTCATTGATATTACATATTTATGGAAGGATATTAACCACAATTAATTTCTGGAAGAAAAAATTTCAGGTAAATTCTATTTTTGCCTTTATATTTCCTTCATTGTTTGATTATTTTCACAATGTTCTTGGATCATCTTAAAACTGAGATAAAAAAGCTGAACAAAATATTGGAAAAATAAAATTGACTACCATTGATTACCAAAATAAACATAAAATACAACCCTGTGATTATGTAAATGAATGTGTTTTCCTTCTAGAAATTTCAGAGCTTCCTCAACTTATAATCAGAACAAAAATCCCATTTCATTCAAATATTAGAACATTCTAATGGTAGAAGGGAGAGTGGATAATGCAAATGTAGATGTCTAATATTATGATTATAGCCTTCTTGTCTGAATTTTAAAAACAATACAGTCATTTTCTGAGGCAATGTAATGAGTTCATGAAGAAAAATCAAATTCTCAATATACGGGTCTCTCACTTTCTTTTTATTTATCGGTCATAACACGCAATTAACCCATTAAAAAGATTTCCCTTCAATGTCTCATGTGAAATGTGAACTGCTTCATTTCTTCCCTCTATCCCATGCGGTAAAAACCACAAAAGAATCATTGTACCTGAATCCAATTGGCAGAGCCCTTTTCAGTTTCAAAGTGGAACAGTTATTGCTGTTCTATGCCCCCTGCTTGAAATTCTGTATTCCCAATTTAGAGTGTCAAAAAGCAATGCCTAATTATTCTCATAGCAAAGATAATCACACCAATTATGATTTTTAAAAGAACTGAGGAGACAAAAGTATAGATAAGATTCACAAAGACAAGTTAGGGGGCGGGGGAAAGAGTGATTTTACATGTTACCAATCTGAACCTGCATAGTCTTTTCCTTTTGGAAAGAATAACAATATAAAATGTATGAAAGGATCACATTATCCTTATTAAATCCTTTGGAGGCGGAAGATCCGTCATTCGTATCATCTTACTTATTCCCACGCATAAGGACCACTGCCAGCCTCCTGTTGGTAGCTGTCAAAACCCCACCTTCTGCCCACTCCAAAATGTATTTAAAAAAAAAAAAGATTAGTGACAGCTCTAAGGAAATGAAAGTTGTGAAAGAAAATATTTTATTCAATCAAGAGAGTTTATCTTTAGATGACTCAATGGAATTTAGTAAAAGTTACAGAGAAACCATGAGTTGTAGATAAATTCCTAATCACCTCCCAAGGGCCTCACTTCTTGATACCATCACATTGTGGGTTCAGGTTTCAGTATATTGAATTTTTGAGGGGACACAGAATTTTAGTCCATAGCACTCTTCAGTTTGCTCTTTGGAATTAGGCAAGAAACAAATTAATGAATAATCAAAACACATATGTGAACTTGTTTCTATTTTACTTCTAAACATAGGGAAAACTTATGCTACATTAATAATAGTATCACAAATATTAATACAGTTATCTAGATTTTACTTTTAATACCTATCTCAAATATTTGATAATTCACCGTGAGATAGATTTTATTTTAAAATTTTACCTCACATTTTGGATCGTGTCAATCATGGTGATCAAAACAAGGTTGCATTTAATCTACAACCTACTAAGCCTGCAAAAAAATTCAACAAACAATTCATATATAAGCAATATTGTGCTAGAATTTAAATGATAGGATCCCAGAGAATCTGAAGACTCTAAAACTTGCTGACACAGTGGAATATATCGTCACGACAGCACATCTTTTTTCCTGTTCTTTGTTCTTTATTTCCATAGGAAGACAACTCATTTTCTCAGACAATTTGAGAAAACTGCCATGTTAGAAATCCTTTTTTAGAGAAGATAGGTTATGTAAAAAGCAGTAGAAATGTGTATCTTTTTGTCTTAGTTCAAACTATTATAACAAAGTAGCATAGACCGAGGGGCTTGTAAACAACAACAATGTGTGTCTCACAGTTCTGGAGGCTGGAAGTCCCAAATCAAGTTACCAGCATGGTTGGGTTCTGGTGAGGACCCTCTTCCAGGTTGCAGACTGGAAAATTCTTGTATCCTCGCATGGCCAATAGAGGAAGAGAAGAAGAAGCTGTCAGGCCTTTTAGGCACTCATTCCATTCATGAGGGTTCTACCTTCCTGACCTCTTCACTTCCCAAGGGCCCCGCCTGCTAACATCATCACACTGGGGCTTAGGGTCTCATTATATGAAGTTTTGAGGGGACACAGACTTGCAGTCCATAGCACCTTTCAGTTTACTGTTTGGAATTAGGAGAGAAATCAATGAATGAATAAATTAGTAAGAACTTACTGCCTGTAACAAGAACGCACAGTATGGGTTGCAGTGAACACAGGTGGAGACATAGGCGCCTGGCATCATTTTAAGCATCTCTGTAAATGAAGCAAGTGTGTAGTTGATATGGGGGACATTAGTTGACCTCCCTGCTGTCTGAGCTGCAATGATTTCATCCCATTTTCTACGAATACTCTAGATGTCGTCAGAAAATAATGCCCAGAGCTGCCACATGGCTGAGATGCGGGCCTTCCTGAAAGTGTCACACAAAGGGGTTCTCTGAGGACTCCCAGCCATGCACAGATCTCTTTTTCCCTCTCTGCCTGTTTCTCCACTCCCCCTCATGCCCACCCTCCTTCCACCCTTCCCTCAAATGTTCTGTAGCTGTCAGGTTTCTTTTATAGAAATAAGTGAAATTATAATGACACAAGAGTTAGACGTGCTGGAGATGAAAAGAAAGACTTTAAGGAAATAAAAAGGAATTGCCATGCTATTTGAAAGCCGTAAGAAGGAGGAAGGAGGGTAGATGAAGGATGTTACCCTGCTCGGGGACCTCTCTTCTTGCACATTTGACTTTCAAAAATGCCTCTGATCATTTCCCAGGGAGCTGGTGATGAATTGAGTTGGATCCAAACAAAGCCTTCACAGCTGGGGCTGGAAAACCTCGAGACCCAAAGACACTCTCCTTCTGGCCCAAATGGTCATAGCCTCTTATGAGGAGCTCACTAGGTGTGACCTCTTCAAGAAGTTTGTCATTGAGAACAGATGCCTTCCCACTTCCAGATTTTTATAACATTAGCCAGTTGTCTGTCGTATCTACGGGGGATATTCTGCTCAGGATTGATAACTGAGGTTGATGCTCTCTGTCCCGGTAGAAGCAGAGTATTAGAGCTTACAAAAATTTAGAGACTTATTGATTATAATAGCAAGCAAGCATTTGTATAGTACTTTACATTTTACAAAATGCATTCATGGACTTTATCATCTTTGTTTTTGTTTTTTGGGTTTCTTTTTTTTTCCTAAAAATTGTGTGGGTCTTGTGTCCTTATCATCACCATTTTACAAATTAAAAAGTGGTAAAAGTCACATACTTTGTAAGTACTAGAGCTAGATGTTAAACACAGACCTTTTATTTTAAAATATCTCATTTTATAGCTGAGGTAATTTATGCTCAAAATGTTAAGTGACTTGCACAAGATCTCTCTCAATTCTAAATGCAGAAGCAAAGCAGACATCGAAATCCTGGGCTTCTTGATCCTGAACAAGCAGCCATGACTCCCTATGTTCTGGCTGAAGGAATTGTTTTGGTGTGAAATCTATGTATTGTTTGTTGAGATAAGGCAGGTCTGGAGTGGAATATTGCAGCTTTAATTCTGAATATGATGAGGTTGAACTGTCTGCAGTGGAGCTGAGTGGAATTCCCTTAGGTATCTGGAACTAGTGTTCATGGAAGATACCTAGACAGGAGATACACACTTGGAATTCACTGGCAGTCAGACAGAAATTTAATCCAGAGGAATGGATAAAAATACCCAGCAGGAGTGCATTGAGCTAGAAGAGAAATGGATTTATAATTTAGTGCTGGAAGGTGGCAACATTTAAGTCATAGGTAGGAGGTAATATTTTTGAGCAAAGATGAGAAGAAATAACCAGATAATCGGGTAAACTGGGAAAGAGTTTTTCCCTGCAATCATAAAAATTTTTAAAATCTGCAAATTAAGTTTAGTAACTCATTTGGCAGCAAAGCTTGGCCTTACTGACGTGAGGATGCATACTGAATTCAGGGCCTTCCTCGATTTACTGTAATAAAAAAAAACCTCAGATTAGAATCATGATCTGATTAAGTGAACCGTAATTCTCTGTCATTCTAAATCTACCCATCTTCTGCAACAACCAAACTAGAGACAAAAGGGGTTGTGATGGTGTTACCTACTTTTGCCGCCATCGAGACCAAAATAGGGCATTGTCTTCAGAAGTTCTCTCAGCAACAGGTGTTGTGTGTGTCCTTGTCTTTTCCTAACATAACTCTTTGACGGAGAAAGCAAAAAGCCAACACAGGTAATCTGTCAACTCCTGAAGGCAGCCTTTCCAACTCTACACAAATTCAGGAAACAAACATGGAATGGGTTTGAGATAAGCCTGAGCCTATTGTGAGGTTGACTTTAGCTCAGCTTTTGTTTACCAAATGACTCCCTTGAGTCTCATGATAAGGTTCAGGACATGGCACCCCAAAATATGGTGCCTTGTCATTTGAGAAAACAGCAGAAAACACCTTCCCCTAGCTCCTTCTCCCCTGAAGCAAGTTATAAGCACCTATGTGAGAGATGCTTTCCGTGTATCCAGAGACAGGGAGTGTCCTTATCTCTGAAAACACAGGGACACAGAGAAGAATCTAAACAAACGGACATTGATAAGTCCCCCAGCTTTGTACCATTAGATCATACCCCCTTAGTACAATCATACTTCTGCATGCCTGCCTGCTTTTTCATCAGATTTACCATAAAAATATACAGGTTTTCCTGTTTCTTTGGGTTAATTTCCTTATGAAGTCTTCTGTGGCATGTAAAACATATGAAACAAATCTCTGTGTTTCCCTTTTGCTAGTCTATCTTTTGTTATAGAGACCTCAGCCATAAGCCTAACAAGGGATGAGGAAAACCAACTTTTCATCCCTTACATTCACCCTAACAAGTAGATCTTGGTGGCATTCTAGATCCCCAGAAATTACCATTCGCTCAGGGACACACTAAGAGCTCTGGCTGGATGTTTCCTTCTTACCGGTACACTGTTATCCTGGGTGTCGGTCACAGCTTTCACAGAGTCTTTACTAGAAGTTACCAAATACCTCCCTCTCTTCTGTCCTGGGTTTGTAAATTGATTGAGGTCAGAGTGAAGTGAGGAGTTGTGACTTCAATAAGGTTTCTTCAACCAGGCTGCTCTTGGGCTGGCCTGAACTTTTCTCATTGTACAAATTTGGTAGAAGAAAGACAATGGTGCTATGCACTTATGTGACCCTAGGGATCCATGGGAATGCAGTCATAGGTGGGGAAGTGCTAGGCTGTGTCCTGTTATGGTTATTACACACACTGTGCCTCTGCCAGCTAAATGCCAAATGTTGGTCTCCAGCAGCCTGGGATCCTGCCATCCCCTCTGAAAATCAGGAGCCCCTTCATCAGCAAGGGTTCCCATTCAACAGCAGCTCTGAGCTCCTAGATACAGCTACGAGGGCTGGCTCACTACCTTCACTTGCCCTGGGTATTTCTCAAGATTGGAATGGTCCCATCTTTCTGGTTCCCTCAGAGGCCATAGGCTAGTCTCAGGTGAGTGGTGGGATATAATATGATAAATCCATTCCACCACCCCTTTCTCGGTGGATATTTGGACTATTTCTTCAATCATATTCCAACAAATTTTGCAATGTTGCCTTCATTGAGACATTTTTAAAAAGAATGCAACTTGGGTTAATGGGATACAGTTTTGGTGGCGCCAGGTTTCATGATGGGGGCTTGTACCTGGTTGCGACCAGGGTATTTTGATCAGGGCGTGTATAGACTTACATTGAGTCAGACAGGTTCTTAGAGTTGTACAGTTGATGTAAAACTGCCATAGTTTGTGTATAAGACTCTCAATCAGCCATGGGTATTTTGACCCAAGTGCTGGTTATAGTTAGTACTACACAAGTCACTGCTTACTTCTGTACAAGAAAAGATCTAAGCAAAAACATTTGGACCTCTGCAAAGCAAAGGCCACTGATCAGAGCCAAAAGGCAGGTGATCTGAATTTAAAAGGGCACAGGTGGGTGGGTGGTCTTAGAGGCTTTGCCCAGAAAAATGTGGCCTATCAAGAAAAGATGGCTACATGGGTCATAACCCTTCCTTCTGAGATGGGACCTCGAGGTGAAGATGGCCTGTGCTAACCACCTTTGTTTTCTCAAAGGACACAGGCTTAAAACCAGTATATTTGGTACCCAAAGCAGATCTTTTGTTAACATCTCCTCTACATGATGAAACTGTTTTAAGAAAAAATCATGTAATAGTAATAATTGTTTTCATTGTTCTCTAGTTGTAAAACAATTCACCAATCCAAAGAAAGAATACATTTATATTTAAAGATATTATTTAAATTCAGTAAGATATTTCATATATGAACTAAAATTTGAACTTACCAGTCAAAAATATTTCAACTCTCAGTGGGTACTCTCTCTTCATTCTTTAAAATCTTAAACGCAAATGGAAACTTCAGGAATTGTGTACACAAAATTGAAGAAACTGAAATTACTCTCTTTGTCTTTGCAATCAAGGCATCGTCACTGTTTATTCTAATCTACTGGAAGGGCTGGGAATATAAATAGCACCAGAAACAAGCTCAAACAGTTGCAAACGTTTACAGGCTTGCTTTAAAAAAATAATTGACAAATGATAATTGTATATCTTTAGGGGGTACAATGTTACATGTTGATATGTATACGCATTGTGGAATGATTTCATCCAGCTAATTAACATATCCTTCATCTCACCTGTTTACCATTTTTTATGCGTGGTGAAAACATTTAAAATCTACTCTCTTAGCAATTTTGACATATACAATATATTATTATTAACTTTGCTCAGCATGCTGTGAAATAGATAACTAAAACTTACTCCTCCTCTCTATCTAAAACTTTGTACTCTTTGAAGACACTTCTCTCCCCTCCCCAACCTCTGGTATCCACATTTCTGTCCTCTACTTTTAAGAGTTTGACTTTTCTAGATTCCACAGAAATGTAAGATCACGCAGTAATTGCCTTTTTGTGACTGGATTATTTTACTTAACCTCATGTCTTCTAGGTCCATCTATATTGTAACAAATGACAGGATTACCTTCTTTTTTAAGATATTCCACTGCGCATATATACCACATTTTCTTTATCAATCTGTTGATGGACACTTAGGTTGCTTCCATATCTTGGCTATGGTGAATAGTGCTGCAGTTAACATGAAAGCACAGATATCTTTTTGACATACTGATTTCTTTCCCCTGTATACCCCAGATTGGGATTGCTGGATCATGTGGTAGTTCTATTTTTAGTATTTTGAGGAACTTCCATATGAAAGTTTCCCAAAATGGCTGTACCAATTTACATTCCACCAACAGTATACTAGAGTTCCTTTTCCTCTACATTCTCACCAGCATTTGTTATCTATCACCTTTCTGATAATAGCCATTCTAACAGATGAGAGGTGATATCTCACTGTGATTTTAATTTGCATTTTGCTGATGATTACAAATGTTGAGCATTTTTTTATATAGCTGTTAGCTATTTTTCTATTTTGGGGAAACCTCTGTTCAGGTTCTTTGTCCATTTTTAATTGGTTGTTTTCTTGCTATTGAATTGAGTTCCTTATATATTTTGGATATTAGTCCGTTTTCAGACGAATGGTTTGCAAATATCTTCTCCCAATCTGTGGATTGTCTCTTCAGTCTGTTGATGTTTGATACAATCCCATTTGTCTATTTTTGCTTTGGGATTCTATCAAAGAAATCATTGCTCAGGCCTATGTCATGGAGGTTTTCTTCTAATAGTTTTATATTTTCATGTTATACATGCAAGTCTTTAATTTATTATGGTTTTATTTTTTTATATGGTGTGAAATAAGGGTCTAATTTCATTTTTCTTCATGTGGAGATTTCATTTTCCTAACACCATTTGTTGAAGAGACTATCCTTTCCAGATTGTATGTTGTTGGCACCTTTGTAAAAAATCAATTGACTATAAATATGTGGGTTTATTTCTGGGCTTTCTTTTCTGTTCTATTGGCCTATGTGTCTGTTTTTGTGCCAGTACCACACTGTTTTGATTACTATAGCTTTGTAATATATTTTGAAATAAAGTAGCACAATGACCTCAGCTTTGATTTGTTTGCTTTTTGCTTAAAAGAAATGAAAATTCCCTTTGTTATTATATTTAGGGTCTTTTGTAATTCTCTATAAATTTTAGAATCCTTTTATTTTTATTTATGTGAACAGTATTATTAGAATTGTGATAGAGGTTACCTTGAATCTGTAGATCACTTTGGGAAGTATGAACATTTTAACAATGTTAATTCTTCCAATAAATGATCATGGGATATATTTCCATTTATTTGTATTGTATTAAATTTCTTTCATCAGTGTTTTAAAGTTCTCAGTATACAGGTCTTTTACCTCCTAGTTTTAAATTTACTTCTAAGTATTTTATTTTATCTTTTGATGCTATTTTAAATGCGATTTTTAAATAGTCAATTGTTAGTGCATAGAAATGCTGCCACCTTTTGTATGTTGATTTTATATCCCGCAACTTTATTGAGTTTAGCAGTTTTACCTGTATTTTGGTGAAATCTTTAAGGTTTTCTATATATAAAATTAAGTTGTCAGCAAGATCATTTCACTTGTTCCTGTTCTATTTGGATGTCTTTTATTTACTTTTCTTGCCTAATTGCTCTGGCTAGTATTTCTAGTACTATGTTAAAGTGTAGTGGTGAAAGTGGGCATCCTTGTCTTATTCCTCATCTTAGAGGAAAAGCTTTCAACTTTTCACCATTCAATATGTTGTTAGCTATGGGCTTGTTGTATATGGCTTTTATTGTGTTGAGGTACTTATTTCTATACCTAACATTAGAAGTTTTATGAAAGGATGTTGACTCTTATGAAATGCTTTCTCTGCACCTATGGAGATGATTGTGTGGTTTTTATTCTTCATTTTTAATATGATATATTGCATTTATTGATTGCCTATGTCAAACCATCCTTGTATTTCAGGTATACAGATTTGCTTTTGAAACATATGTATGTAGATTAGTCTGCATCTGTCAGGGACTGACTGTATACATGGGGATATTCAGAATTAATTTCTAGGCAAAACAGAATATTTGTTGAAGAATAAATACAAATTTGCTAATTTAAAACTTATATTATATATTATTAAAATACTGCATTTGCAATTTTAGTTTAGTACCTAGACTCCAAACAATTTTACTAAATGGAATAGTTTATCACTGACACTGTTTAGAATTGATGATAAATGGTGATGATACCAAACAGACCACCTTTTAGTAAGTTTTATTGTTTTACATAATCTTCTTAATGCATTTTTTATTGCTCAAAACTGGATGGGCTGTTCCCACTTCTCTGTTCTTAGTATGTCAGTGGTTAGGCAATAATTCCATTGTAGAGAAAGGAAAGTATATAAGCCTTTTGAACATTAAGAAGGTAAAAAAATACTTGCTATTTTTGCTAATTTATATAGCTAGATTTTGAGTACCATGGCAAAAATTAGTAGAATTCTAGTTTCATATTATTGATGTTTAGCCTAGATAGGAAGTGTGAATGGCAGGTAGCTTTTGGAAGCCTACCCTGATCCAATACTTGTGAATATATAAAAAAGCATCCCAAGTCTGGGATTTATTATTAGCAAACGTAATAGACTTAAAATTATGTTTTTCTAAGGGTCTCTAACAGTAGGCCACCTATCTGGAGAGGTGATTTTTTTTTTTTTCACCTTTACCCTTGCTTTCTTTCTGAGGTTATTCTTCAACTGGCCAGAGAATCCAGAACTATTTTACAGGGGACCCCTTAGAAACACAAACAACCACTCTTAAGTCCAAGTTCATTCAACTAATCATGCAAAAATGTAGAATCAGCTCTACCTACACCAGTCACAATGCTGAGTCAAAAATCTCCTGATGCAAAACAATGTTTTTCTCTCTCTTTGTTTCAGTCTGTTTCCTCATGTATTCCCCTAGACTTTTATAGAAGTTAAAAAAGTGGAAACTTTTATAACTTGAGGGTTTTGTTGGCTTTGTCCTCCCAAGGTGAAATTTGCACTTCCTTTAACTTCTGGGGCATGCATGCTGGGATCTGTTTCTAATCACGTTTTGAAACAATCAAGGTTGATGATAGACCACAAGGAGAATTGGCTTCCTCTTGCAGGTCCCCATGGACAAGGTCATTTCTAGGTCTCTGGAAAGGTCAGTCAGTCACTTCATAAAAGAGAAGCAATGCTGCTTCACTTGACACAAAGAATTAATGAGTGTTTCGGTGCAATAAAGGGTAGGGACAGGTGTAGTTCAGGAAATTCTAAATTTTCCAAGGTTTCCTTAAGATATCATTCCAATTTTTTAAAGTCATACTTTTTTTGTAAATGTCTTAATTCTCAGGGAAGACCTTATGAGACTATAAATTTAAGTTAGCATATAATCATGAAATCTATTAATCAGTCTTTCTGATGCAGTAAAAAGAAAAATATCTTAACCTTCATGCTGCAAGAAATGAAAGATTCTTTGGACACACACACACACACACACACACCATATATATATATATATATATATATATATATATATATATATATATATATATATATGGTGTGTGTGTGTGTGTGTATATGTATATATATATATATATACATATACACACACAACTATAGCACAATCACAGACAAGCAGTCTATAACTTCTTTGGAGAATTTAGGAACTTTGCCATGGCAGTCTTTTTCCATTAGCTTTCCCAGCATTGTTGGAAATGGTCCCCCAGATTCATAATCCTTGAATCCCCTCATCCCTTTGTGCAACTCCGCTGACTTCTCCAATGCTTTGCTTTCAATGGGCACTCCATTTTAGGTGACCACAGGTGATAATTAAATTAGTTTCTTCACTGCTGCTTGCTATGAAGTGCCAAGGTCATATTCCCCAAGACTAGCTGATGTTTATTACCTTCAGCTCTAACCAATTCCAGATACCCTCCATAATTTGTTATGTGTGACCACCCCTGGAACCAATTTTTATGTCAATCTAAAAAAGGATTTTTGCTAGCAAATGAACTGACTATAGATGGTTCAAGTAGCAAATAAATGCTTGAAAGAGCTGTTAGGGTGTTCATACGCTTACTGGGAATGCTGAAGAAACAGGCAGAGAAAATTGGATAAAACAGAGCTACTCGTACTGAAAATAACATATAGATCCTGTTTTGTGGGGACATATATGCTGCTGTCCCCATGCCCAGGAAACCAGAGGTTACTTTGCAGATGCTCTTAGCTTAGATGCTTAGTGGCCCCTACCATGATGAGATCTTGTTGCCTTATATTTCTAGTTCCAGTTTCAAAGTATATCCAATTGGTCTGGCCTAGGACTCATGCTCAGGGCCTTCTGTGCACCAGGTTATTTGGCGCTGACATAGAGAAGTTTCAAAAGCAAAACAATTAAGTTATTAGTTTCTATATCAGGAGACACATTCTGCTTCCCACCAGACTACGTAAGGTGAGAAATTCTCTAAACATTGGGAAGAGAGCTGCCAAAAACTGGCCAGTGTTTACCGCATCTTCATTCTCTGAGTCAGCCATGGCGGCCACTCTCCTTCTTTACTTGGGACATTCCAAGCTCCTTTTCTTCTTAAGACCCCCACTCTTCCCCAGATCTTATATTTGGCTGGCTTTTCCTAATCATGTAGGCCGCACCTTAAATGCCACTTCCTCAAAGTGGCCTTTCTCAACTCCCGTATGTAAAGATTCTGGCTGCCTTCTCCCAGCTTCACCAAACATGCTTTACCCCATTACTCAGTTCTCTTTTTTTGCATCACTTATCACCCTTGAAAATGATGTCATTTAGGTGTTTTAATGCTTATTACCTGCCCTTCCCATGTAGCATATAAGTGTCACAAGTTCAAAGACTTTGTCTATGACTTATTCATTTTTCTTGCACCATTCAATCCCCAGCATCAAGAATAGTGACTTGTACCTATCAGAGGTCAATTGGTACGTAAGGAATAAATAAATTAATCAAAGTGTAGGTTTGGAGTTGGCAGAGATTCCAATGGAATCAGAGGCCTGGACTGAGCTGGGATGCAGGACCTCCCGTAACTCCAGTGTGTATTATTACTGGCATGCATTCTTCCCAGCAGAGTGCTCAGCATAGGGCGTCAGTGCCGGAGCTCAGCCTGAATCTAAATAGTGCGTGATTCTGAGAGATTTTGAAAATAGAAAAGACCACATCAATTCTAAGTCTTATTCTCAACGCATGTGGATTTTTCTGCAGGCACCACTTTCTGGCCAATCAGACTACACATTTTATGTGGTATCAAGGTCCTACTGAGTAAATCGTCATTGCAGCATACACTGATTTATGGCAATTTTTGTTGGAATGATGAACTCTGCGTGCCTCTCTGATATATGCATTTGACATGAACTGGGCAGTGTTACAAATGTTAATCACTGGGGTTTTTATCTTTTGTCTTAGGGAGTTGAAGACGTTTCCCAATGTCTCTGAAAGGGCCAAAAAACATGCAAACATCCTAAAAGGCAAGTCTCAGGAATTCTTGGACATGAGACAAGGTTTTAAGGAGTACCTAGAGAAGGCAATTCCCATATCCTGTGTCTAAAATGGCATAAAATACAGTTTATGCACACACATGTCAGTAATTCAATGGTCATTTCTGTTCGAAGCAATTATATTCTGGCTTTGTATTGTCAGCTTGACCATAAGGTAGAAATAAATTGTCCAATCCCGCAGAGCTGAGGTCATAAAACATAAAGACTCCTTTCATTTCTGCCATTATCTTAATTTTATGACCTTGGGAAAGTCACTTTACATTCTGAACTGCAGAATATTGTATAAAATAATCTCCGGGGTCATTGTATTCATATTCCTGCTCTTGGAGTTCCAAGAAATGACCTCTCAATTGTCTTCATGGTGATGTTGGTGGGAACCACCACATGATTCTGAGATAAAGTTTAATTTTGATGCATATCATGTCTAAATGCTGGATTCTATTTTTTAAAAAAGTATATATATATATATACCTTCCCTGTGAAGTATGAGGGAAATATTTTTCTAGGTTTTTCCCCTCTCAGAGAACTGTTGTATATTGACTAGAATCAGGTAAATATTTCAGACTTCCATTCTGGATGTGTCTTTGCCAGTGTATAGGAAGCCAGGGCTCAGAATGCTGGCAATGCCTTTTGAAAGCTGCTTCTGATCACTGACATTTTTAGCTTTGGCACGGGGAGACTTCCCATCATCATTCCTTCTTTTTTTGTTAGTGCTACAGAAAATCATCTCCATTCTTACTGCTTTGCCTTCTCAGTGATTGCAACATCACCCCTGATGTCACTGTATGAAACTCCTGATCAGCTCTGGCTGACTGGTTTGCCTGAGAAGAGGGGTGAGTCGATGCAAGCAGCTCTGGTTTTGCTTGAAGGGGACAGCAGCTGGGGCTCAGCTGCCAGTTTGATAAGGAACAGGAACTGTGCGCCATCCAAGCAGAAATCTCAAAGTCTCAAGGACTGCTAAGGCAGAGAAAGGCAGAAGACACATATGGCTGGGTTCTGAGCATATGTACTCAAGCCAGGGGAGAAAATTTACGAGAAGGACAGTTTTCCTGTGCCAATTAGGCATCTTTATATCATTCATTTGACAGGCAAGCCTATATCACTTGAGATTTCTAAAGGACAACACGTCTCTCACAGATGGTATAGAATATTTTTATCTCGAAATTCACATGATCTCAGAAGACTGATTATAAAGATGGAACTATAGCAATATTTCTGGGATAAATATCAGTCACACTGAGGGCAAAGCTCTCTTGTGCCCCTCCCTACCCCACTCCGATTGGCTCCATGGAGACCTGAGACCTCTACTCACCCTGGATCTGCTCCTAATATTTATAAATCTTTATTTAATTAAAATCATCAAATTCATTGCAGATGCATCAAATGGCCATTTCAGTAGAACAAAAAAAGGGAGGTATTGTTGCAGTTAATTTGCATACTGCAAAGTTTTCAAAATGGTGAGGCCCAGAGATACTGTAAATTTCTACCACATGCTGTTATTATAAAAATAAAAACCTAAATGGACATGAAAAGATACATTGTCCCTCTAGGCATAGACTCTTTATGATGAAGCTGTTCAACTTAAAGCTAAGGTCACATCCAGCATTAGTATTCTATGATTATACATCTTTTCCACCAAACAAATGGCAATTTAAAAATGTGTTCAACTTGCTGCAGAAACACAAACAAAACTCAAGCTTCTTGGTGTCAACTGTAGTCTCACAACAGATTCTTCAAGGAGACAGTGACTTACCTTAGCTACTTTACTCTCAGTAAAATAGCTTTCAGGCACAGCCATACCCACCCTGGAAGTCTCTTCATTTCATTCTCTCTCATATGTTTTTGTTTTTGTTTTTTGTTTTTTGTTTTGAGATGGAGTTTTTTGCTCTTGTTGCCCAGGCTGGAGTGCAATGGCGCGATCTAGGCTCACTGCAACCTCTGCCTCCCAGGTTCAAGCGATTCTTCTGCTTCAGCCTCCCGAGTAGCTGGGATTACAGGCATGCGCCACCACGCCTAGTTTTGTATTTTTAGTAGATATGGGGTTTCTCCATGTTGGTCAGGCTGGTCTCAAACTCCTGACCTGAGGTGATCCACCCACCTCGGCCTCCCAAAGTGCTGGGATTACAGGTGTGAGCCACTGCACCTGGCCTTCATATGTATTTTTAAGTCCCTGTTTTCCTGAGATATATCTGAATTTTCCTCCATGAGTTGATCAAAAACCTGCTTTGCTGGGTTTGGAATTCTAGAGTCTCTTCCACATTTGCTGAGTTTGAGGAGCAGATTTAGAGAGTTTCTCAGGAGGTCTACTTCAGTGGTGATGAGATAAAGGGCTAGAAGCTCTTGTAGTGTGGGTATTGGGAAGTGGAGCACCTGCCCACCATTCCATTAAGCTAAGAGAAAGGTGAAATGAGACAGTGGCTAAGCGCTTGTACAGATGCTCACTATGAGTCTAGCTCTGTTGTTCAGTACCTTAGGAAGGTCCCTTGAACCCTCCGTGTCGCAATTTTCTAAAGGACGAAATAGACATGATAATAATAGAAACTACCTCAAAGTGGTGGTGGGGGAATTAGAGGATTAAAACATGCAAGTGTTTATAACTATATCTGGCATGCAATAAGCACAATGTATATGGTATTATTATATGATATAGCAACATTTTACTTAAGTGAGTAATTGTTAGGAGCTGAAGCAATTTTAATATTTTAAACAATGTCTATGTGAATAGATATTTCACTCCATTTGTAACCTTCCTCTGTAAAGGTAGTAGGAAAGATAATTTCTCCCTATTTTATTAGTAAAAATCCTGATATTCCCTGTTGTAACCTATGAAGTTAGATAGAAGCAGGAAAATTATACCAATATTCAATAGAAGTTTAGTGCCTACAATTGATCAGACATAGTTCTCAGTCCAAGGAAAATAACTGAAAAAGCTCTTTTGAAGATTATACTTTTCAGAATTTTATAAGCAGATATTTGATTAAAATCCATTTGATATTATAGTCATGGTGGAAAAATAGAGAGTGTAGAGGGAATAAAGACTTTTGCTTGGAGAAATCAGGGAGGGCTTCACAGAGGAGGTGATATTTTTGGATGACTTTTGAAGGAAAGGTCAGGTTTTTCTAAAAGAAGAAAGAAACAATGGCCCCAGAAGGATATGTCTGATGATTTCCAGATAGATTTTTGTCTCACAGCTAGTCTGTCCTCATCAGTTAATAAACAATGCCTACCACCTCTAGGAATGCTGAGACCTAGATCCAGCCAAATGCACCCTCAGGGTCTGCTCTCTAGGTGTCCTAATCATGGTATTCTGAAGGCTCCATGAAAACACTGGGGTTGTGGTTAGGGAAAAGCTCTGTTACCTAAGGGAGCAGTTACATTTTAGTTCTGTGGCCCCATCTAATATTTGTATAGCAAGGAAAGACATATTAACTTCAACCCCACACAGTGACAGCAAGGCGGGTGATCTCTTGCAAACTAATAGGTAACATGAATCGAATTCCATCTGCAAAGACTTTAAGGTCCACCTACCACTGACTTTTAAAGAAATGTACTGGCTTCTATTGTTTTCTTCATGGTATTAATGAAGCTCCTTTACATCCATTTTCAGCCTAAAGTGTTGAAATTCACCTAGTAATCCAAGAGAACACTATTGGCAGTCAACCCTGTTGCCTGATAAACAGAAGTGCTTATTCTGGAAACATCCTGACCATCATGGTCTCCAAAGTTTTGTTCAATCTGCCTTCCCCAAACACTATATGCAAAGTAAGACCATTGTGGAACTACTTTTAAAGTATCAAGAAAATTGTTACCGTCCCGACTCTATCCTTGTGAGATAGAAATACATAGGAAACAAAGGCTAAGACTGGATTTATTTAAAATAGAATTCAGACTACTTTCTCATTCTTTTTTTTTTCTTCTTAGTATGGAAATGGCTCAACATTTTCTCTTTTCCTCTGGTTTTCTTACAATTTTTTAAATAACAGTTTAAAGCTATGCTGTCCAACACAGTAGTCACTAGCCATGTGTGCTTAATGAGTTCTTGGAATACAGCTAGTCCAAACTGATATATGCTATGAGTATGAAATACATACAGGATATTGAAAACTTAAGATAAACAGGCCAGACACGGTGGCTCACGCCTGTAATCCTGGCACTTTGGGAGGCCGAGGCTGTTGGATCACCTAAGGTCAGGAGTTCGAGACCAGCCTGGCCAACGTGGTGAAACCCCGTCTCTACTAAAAATACAAAAAATTAGCTGGGCATGGTGGCGCATCCTTATAATCCCAGCTATTTGGGAGGCTGAGGCAGGAGAATCACTTGAGTTCGGGAGGCGGAAGTTGCCATGAGATGAGATTGCACCATTTACTCCAGCCTGGGTAACAAGAGTGAGATTTCATCTCAAAAAAAAAGATAAAAACAATGAAAACCATGATTGTTTTTATATTGATTACATCTTGAAATCACTACAATTGGTATATGTTGGTTCAATAAAATATAGTGGTAAAATTATTTTTTCCTTCTAACTTTTTAAAAACATGGCTACTTGGAAATATAAACTTACCTATGTAACTCATATTATGTTCATATTGCACAGCAATGCTTTAGCTGTACTCTGCTCTCTTTCCTAAAGCCCAGAGAGAATTGACGAATGCTGTCACTACTGATGCAGCTGATTTGTGGGACATCTAGGATAGTTTACAGAAAATACTTTTAGTATATACCTGGATGTCCTGTCAGCTTTTCTCTAACCTGTTAGAGTCTCAGGTATCTCTTAGTCCATGCTGTTTAAATTATCATCATCCCATGAAAACATCTTAAACCCAAATCTCTTATTTAAACTTAAATAACTGTGGTAGACTCTGTGGTCTGTCTAACTGAACTTTCATTTTCAATTCCCTTCTCCCTGCTACTGAAGCGGCGTCATTGTCTGGGGTAAATACCCAAGGTTTGTCATCTCACGCCAGGGAGATCAAGGACGAGGACACACAAGAAGTGAGTTTAAGAGTGGAAGTTTAATAGGCGAAAGAAAGAGAAAAGAGAATAGCTCTCTCTCCTGCATTGAGAGAGGGTCACCAGTGGGTCTTCCAGTCCATGGTGAAGTGCACAGGGGCTTTACAGACTGGTTGGAGGAGGTGGTGTCTGATTTACATAGGACCCAAAGATTGATTAGACCAGGTGTGACATTTACATAGCATACGAAGAAGCTGGACACTCCACCCTAATCTTTTATTATCCAGATGGGTTCTCTACCTGCCGGACAACACGTTGTCTCTTCCTTACTGTACACATAGTTGACAAAGAAAAGGGAAGACGAAGCCATCATGTTGAATATGTCTAGGCCCCAGGTTGCCTTTTCCTACTGGCAAAGCTTCTGGCATTATGCGTGCAAGCTTCCAGCTTGCTTTTCTCTGTCTGCCGCTCGAATTTTCAGGCTGCTGTTTGTTAGAAAAGTAATGATTTGGGGGCTGCTTCTCGTTAAAAGGAAAACCTTACTGAGGACTCTCTTACCTTCACTATCTGCCTAAATAATTTCTTTTTATCTCCTAAATCATTACTTTAAACTTTGAAGACTATAGATTTTTAAAACTCTCTTACTCAGTCTCCACATGTAGCAAGATATGGCCAGATAATACAGTTTTAGACAATGAGACATGGTTGAAGTCAGCTGAGGTATTGATTATGATAAAGTTCTTTTGTATCTGCTAAAAAAGGACTGTTGGTGCTACTGGAATGCCTTTCTCCCTTCTCCTTGTCTCAGATGCAGATGGTTGCCTAACACCAGCGTCCATCTATGCTTAGCAGGAAAGACCAGGAGAATCACATAGATTCTGAGTCTCTCTCCTTGTTCAGCTACTGAATCAATGTCAAAAATCACTCGACTCAGACTTCTTGGACTAAGGGAAAGTAAGCTGCCAGTTGTTAAAGCTGCTGCAAATTAGGTTTCCTGTTACTTGCCGCTGAACATATTCCCAACTGACACACCAAGGCAATTATTTTCTGAGTGTCCAGAATTGGAAACTTGGTGTCATTGTTGACTGCCTTCTCTTCATTAAAAAACAAAATCAATCACTAAGCCCTGCAACTTATCCCCTTTGATATCTGTCCCATGCTTCCTCCCTTTTAATCTTATTCTTGACATGTAAGTACAATCTCTCCTTACATAATTCCTAGAATCATGAAACTAGAGATGCCACTTTCCTCCTCAAAACTTGTTCAATGACATCTCCATTTCTAATCCAATGATGGCCAAATGGCCTAACCTGGTAAACAATTCAAGGATCTCGACAATCTGCTCATAATCTACCTTTTTGGACTTATCCATTCCCACTAACATATATATACCTTTTATCCCATTCACACGATGTTTCCCAAAGCCTCTTTACATATTTATTCTCCTCCTGCACACCCTTAAGTATACCTTTCCCTCTGTCTGAAATGCATTGCCTCCTCCATGCCACTGTAGAAAACCAGCCTTATCTTTTCAAAGCCACGTGATCTGTTTTACTTTCCTACTCACATTCTTGGATTCCTCTCCCTTCTTGAGCTCTTTGAGTCATGCATACATTTTATTAAGACCCAAGTATAAGTAGCAAACATCATGTTAGGTACTTGGAATTGAAAGATGAGTAAGACACAGGCTTTGCCATCAATAGATAGGCAGAAGAGGCAGAAAAAGATAATTTCAGTCCGCAAAAGTCACTTAGCTTGATCTTGAAGGGTTAGCTGAGAAGATGCTGCCTGAAACAAAATGAAGAGTCAGTCACCAAGTGAAAAAGCAGGCAAAGTTGTTCCAGGCAGAAAAAAAATACTATGAGCAAAAGCCAAGAGAAAATAAACACCATACTACGTTTAATGAGCAGTTCGCCATCCCTCAGGTTTTCTTTCAGTTAGTGACCAAACTTGATAGAAATGAAGGCAATTCAATGGCTAAAATGTCCTCAAATTTGTTTTGGTGGCAAAACTGGCATCAAAACACTTGTTACAATACCAGATCTTCCCTACGACTCTCCCATTAGTACTGCTTTGTTTTATTTAAAAGAAAATAAAACACATAACGACCAATGCACATAACTCGATGAAACTGTCAATCTCTCTTCTTTATTTGCACTGTTCCTCTGAATTTTCTATGGAATACAGTCTCCAGTGGGTGTTTGTTTCAAGAAAATAAGAAAAAAAAAATAAATAGGCATACAAAGATTTTAATTCTGAGTTACTATACAATGAAATAATATATACTTTAAAAAAGACTTTATGTTTTAGAACAGTTTGGGTGTCACAGAAAAATTGGGCCGAAAGTAGAGTTTCCATATATACTCCTGCCCCCAATATGCACAGTGTACCCCAGTACAACATCTCACATCAGAGTAAAATATGTGTTCCAATCAATGATGCTATATTGGCACATCATTATCACCCAAAGCTCATAGTTTACATTAGGGTTCATTCTTGGTGCTGTTCATTCTATGGGTTTAGGCAAATGTTTATTTGACATGTATCTACTATTCTAGTAATAAACAGGATAGTTTCGCTGTCCTAAAAATGCTCCATGCAGTGATGACTCATCCCTCTCTCGCACATCTAACCCCTGGCAACCACTGATCATTTTACTGCCTCCATAGTTTTGCCTTTCCCCGATGTCAATATATACATATTGCAAGGAAGAGATCAATGGCCTAATTCTTACACTATCATATGAACTCGTTTTTGAGGAATGACCTACTAGGAAGGTATCAGTGCTAGCTGTACCAGATGAAGTCTAAAACCTCAGTTGCTTAGCACAGTAAAAGTCTGTTTCTGGCTTACTTAACAAAGGCAGATGTGAGCCTTCCTGCTTAAATGAGACTCCTCCCAGTAGGGATTTGGAGATCTTCTCACTCCTCTGGCTGGTTCCATCTTCTTCATCACATGGCTTCCAGGTCCACCTTGTTACAAATCTAGTGGTTAGAAAATGAAAAGGGGATACTGAGCCTTGTGTAGGTGGCTGCTTCTGCACACCACGTTATTTCTGTCCACATTGCTCTGATTGGAACTCACTAAGCAGAAGGAAACTATGAAAGTATGAGCGACATGGAATGGTTAATGAGTAAATTAATTTATCCCAGTGGACATGTGATAACTTTGCACTACAAATGTAAGAGGTTAGCATACTGGTTAGGAAAATAAAACTACATATAGAATTTGTATTGGTTTTTTCTTTTAAAGGCACTTAATTATATTCATTTATTGATTCACTCGTTAATTTCTGTGTGTGTGTGTGTGTGTGCGTGTGTGTGTGCGTGTGTTTCAGATGGAGTCTCACTCTTGTCACCCAGGCTGGAGTGCAGTGGCATGTTCTCGGCTCACTGTAACTTCTGCCTCCCAGATTCAAGCCATTCTCCTACCTCAACTTCCCAAGTAGCTGGGATTACAGGCATGTTCCACCACACCCAGCTGATTTTTGTATTTTTAGTAGAGACAGGGTTTCACCATGTTGGCCAGGCTGGTCTTGAGCTCCTAACCTCAATTAATTTGCCGGTCTCAGCCTCCCAAAGTGCTAGGATTATATTCACTCATTAATTTCAACAAGCATCCACTGAGCACTTACCATTAAGCTAGGCATAATACTAGGAGTGATCAAAGTGATGCATATCAGAGAATCTGATATTGTCATTCCATCTGGTAGAGCGTTTGTCTCAAAATAGGTGTTCACTAAGCATTCACTGAATTAATTATTCAATAAATAATAAATGCAACATTGAAAAATGTTCTGTCATAGGGCTACAATAATTGCCACAGAGGTGAAGGGACTGACAGTATTTTATATTGTACTGGGCTATCTGAATTCCAAAAAGCTGCCCTGGGTACATTTTGGCTATTTCTTGGAGAGAGAAAGACCTCATGTACTGATTTGCTTCCACTGTTCATCAATTCCTTAGCTAAATACTACAACACCTAGAACAATGCCAAATACCAAAGGAACACTCAATTATATGCTTTTTAATGAGGGTGATGACAATAAAAATTACAAGTCTGGAAAATGAATAGCAATACTATGATCCCATTTTAACAAGCTGGATGGTCCTTCAAATTTGCAACATTTGGGAATTTGAGCTTTTTTTTTTCTTTTGCTCTCCTCTTTTTTTGCTAAAGAGTGTTTCCTAAAAGAATCAGAGGGCTGTTACCATGGAGTATGGCAGTTATAATTCTTTATTGATAATTGATTATTTCTGAAAAATAATAGATTTTTTTCTGGGTGTTAGTAAAGTGACCCTAAAGATGAAAACCTGTGAATTTGTGGCAAGGGGGCATAGATTGGTCAATTTATCAGATTACAGGATTTTACAAGGTGAGAAATATTATGATATTAACCAATCAATAAATGCTTGTTTTAAATATCACACAATGAATTTAGTTTTGTCATATCTTTTCTTCCCTGTACTATAAACATAGAACAATAACAGATATAATCAGCATGAGATAGTCAATAGGACATCTAGCCACGTGAACAAGGTAAACATCTCTGTAGACGCAGAGCACAGAAACCTTAAATCTATAAGAGATGCAGGAAGTCGCAGCCAGGAACATGGCTCCTACCAGGGAACAAGATCTAAAAGTGTTTGATAGACACTGGCCTAATATGATGTAGGCCTATGCCTAAAGTCAGGGGTTGGACAGGTCCTTAAAAATATTCAAGAAAGGCTGGAATAACTGAAACTGCATGAGTTCGCAACTTCATGAGGAACTCTGGGCCTATATAAGCCAGGAAACAAAGACAAATTCTGATGACAAGAAACTGGGAAAAAGTAGCTTGTACTCATGAATAGGTGTATAGATATCCCCATATCTTCGCAGAACAGGCTCCAAAACCTAGTTTTTGACTGGGGGCTACAGACAATCAATTAGATGAAATATCCAAATTTTTAGATAGGAAAGGGGAATAATGAGAGAAAGAAAAAGTCAAGCAGAATTCAAAACATAAATTTCTTTATTTTAAGAAAAATAAGCCTTTCTAAACAACCATTTCAAATATATAGGAAAAATATATATTTTATGTATTTGAAAATTAATGTACTAAGAGAATGTAAATGCAGTATATAGCTTCTCAGATAACAGAGGCAAAAGCTTGGAGTATAAAAATAATTTTATTAATTCAACAGAATATAAGAGAGAAGAAAATAAAGAAGCAAAGAAAAACAGGTAGTAATCTAAAGATAGAATAAGAAGTTAGAAATGAATCTAGATAAAACAATAAAAGTAAAATATAAATGCTTTCAAAGTCATACCCAGCAGAAAATAAAATTCAAATATTAAATAGAAAAAGTTAGTAAAACATTAAACCAAGGATACCTGTGGCAGAAATATTAATATCAAGACAAATAGATAATAACTCAAAACACATTATTAGGGCTAAATTAGAAAGTAAATTATATAATAATGAAAGCAGTTACTTTCAAGAATATATGAACTTTTATGAACTCGACAACATAAAGAGAAATTTTAAAGCACAACTGATAGATATACAATGTAAAACTGTCAAATTTACCACCATTTTGGATATTTTTAAATACCTATCAAACAGAAACAAATTAATCCAGCACAAAAAATTCTTAAGGATACAGAAAATTTGAATGAGAGGATTAGTGACCTTTATATAACAAAAATATATAGAACCCTGCGTGCAACCTACAGAGAAAATACTTTATTTTCAACAGTACATTCTCTACAATTTTTATTACATCTGTTATATATTATTTATTTCATAATCACATAAGCTATAATTACAGAATAGTGCTAAAAGTGATTTTTTTTAGTTGGTGTTCTCTTGTTCTTAAATTCAGTGTGAATGCTTTTATGTATAACTTTGCCTTTAGGTTTTATATAATCATCTTAATAGTGTGACTGTTTTTCTTTCATTAGATTTTTTTCTTTGAGAAATGAAAATTAATATATTGGTATGATATGTTTTTCTCTTGTGACCTATTAGTTATTTCTGCAATGGATTGAATATTTGTATCCTTTTAAAAGTCATGTGTTAAAATCCTAACACCCAGTGTGACGGGATTAGGAAGTGGGGTGTTTGGAAGGTGATGATTAGGTCATCATTAATGGGATTAGTGTTTTTTAAAAGAGACATCACAGATCTCTCTTGATCTCTTTCCATCATGGGAAGATACAATGAGAAGTTAGTTGCCAGTCTAAAACTCCAAAGAGGGTCTTCACCAAAACTCAATCATACTGGCACCCTGATCTCAAACCTCTAGCCTCCACAACTTTGAGAAAGACATTTCTATTTTCTAAGCCTCCCAGTCTATGGTACTTTGATATAGCAGCCTGGACTGACTAGGGCATTATCTTATAGTGTTTCTCAACATTGATCTATTCTTACACTTCTCACATGAAGCCCATGTTATTGTGGACTTTTCTCTTTAAACATTTATTTATTTATTTTTGAGATAGAGTCTCGCTCTGTCGCCCAGGCTGGAATGCAGTGGTGAGCAGAGATAACTGTAACTTCAAACTCATGGCCTTAAGCCATTTTCCAGCCTCAGCCTCCTAAGTAGGTGGGACTATGGGCGCACACCACCGTGCTCGGCTAATTTTCATTTTTTTTTGTAGAAACAGGGTGTCATTATGTTGCCCAGGCTAGTCTTGAACTCCTGGACTCAAATGATCTTCCCGCCTCTGCCTCCCAAAGTGCTGGGATTACAGGTGTGAACCACCACACCCAGCCTACACTATTAATTATATATATATATATTTTTCAGATTTTTTTGCATTGATACAAATTTCTTAATTCAACATATATTGATTGCATTCTCTCCTTTGACTGAGAGAGCTAAACCTGAGCTTTGGGCATGTAGGAGAAAGTAACCCTTACGATGTTAGGATATCACATTTAGGAGCATCTCCCTACTCAATGCCAAAATGAGAGGGATGCAAATCGGAAGCTATTGGTACCTCACTAAAATCTCTCTGTCACCTGGCAATACTGTTTCCTGGTGAGCAGATACATTCTTCAGTTTTATCTGGACCAAACACAGCCCAGTCTCCTCCAAACACTTTGTAATGGTGAAGATGCGAGAAAGCATAGTAATACTATCCATTAAGTGTTCAATTCTCCAATTACTTAGTCAGATTGCTGATTACTGGGCTCTCCAAAATTCTTGTTTCTGCCCCTGAAACTCTTCCTTAAAAAAAGTGGATTGCAGGTTTCTCTTCTTGCCTCTCTGGTCTATAATCTTTTCTTACTTGATCCATCCCTTAATTTGGTCTCATTCACTTTAAATGTACAGAAAAGAATAAAATACTTTATCTGTTAGTCTTTCTTATTTCCATTATCTGTGCCAACACACATTCATTTTATTATGTATTTCTTTATTGTCATTTTAGTGAGATTTTCTGAGGAATGGTAGAAAATTGTAGGTGCCTATTTCAGCACTTTGAACACAGTGCTTCTCAATATAAATTGTAAATGATTGTTGACGAAATAATTGAGATCTTATCACAAAGTTTCTCAATTTGTAAATGGTAGTTCAGAGACCAGAGTATGAGTTGCACAGATATAGTTCCCTATGTTTAGGAAATTTTTTCAAGCCAGAAATTTGTCTCGTGGTTGGATTTGAAAGTCAGTTGAACCTACCTTTTGGCAGTAACAAATAGTTTTAAATAATATATGAAGGTGATACAATTCATTTGAGATAAACATCTGGTTTTTAGTTCCAGGAGCAGTGATGGACTGTTGTTAACTCAGCCATTTTCTCCTACCACCAAAAATTATTTTACATCGGTGACATGGTAGGAGTTCTTAAGAACACTGTTGAGAAAGAATGGGAGATGGCACTTTGGGAGGCCAATGTAGGTGGATTGCTTGAGCCCAGGAGTTCAAGACCAGCCTGGGAAACATGGTAAAACCCTGTATCTAAACCCCTAAATACAAAAATTAGCCAGGCCTGGTGTAGAAATTCTCGACATTTTAAAAATGTATCCTTTATGGATAAAGGCTTTGAGGACTTCTGGTTTATGGTCTAACAGATAATGAGCTTGGAAGTTGCCACTCCTAACAAAAAAATATAAAGTTGAACAAACTGAAAAATCACCAAATCTTCTTAGATCCACCAGTGAAGACAAATCCCTGGCCCTCAAATTAGAGACACAGGTGAATACAGAGAACTGTAATTTAATGGAGCAGAAAGCCACAAGCAGAAACTTCCAAGGGAACAAGTACAGGGGTAGGGAAATGAGAACCATAATGGACAAATTGCTGCAGGCTCACTGGACAAGCCTGAGGGTTACAAACTCAGTCACTTGTAAGTTTTTCCTCCAGGAGTACTACCAGGTCTTCATGGAGAACATCAGAAAACCCCCCACCTCCACGATTAATGCAGGAGGAAGGAAAGGGAAACAACTGAAATACTCGAGAGCATTATGTTCTTAATAATGCCTGCTCTCAGGTGAAACCAGTTAATCACAGCTTCTCTTGCTGGGGTTTTATCAGAGTAGGATGACAGATGCCCAACTTGAGACCCCTCTAGCCATTCTCTTCCACCTAAGGAGAAAGGGAGGAACCAAGACGTGCTTTTGAATTCACATTTCAGAGGCAAAGTCTCACAAAATACTGAGACCAAATCACAGGACTATAGAATACTTCCTCTTCCCCCACACCCTTTCAGCACATTACTAAAGGCCTATTTGTGACAGCAATACCTTTTATCCAGTACATCATGTCTGGATATCAAAAGAAAAAATTACAAGGCACACTAAAATGCAAAAAACAAAGCTTGAGTACACAGAGCATATTAGGCCATTCTTGCATTGCTGTAAACAGATCCCTGAGACTGAGTCATTTATAAGAAAAGAGGTTTAATTGGCTTATGGTTCTGCAGACTATAGGAAACAGCGGCATCTGCTTCTGGGGGAGGCCTCAGGGAGTTTTTGCTCATGTCAGAAGGCAGAGCTGGAGTACATATTTCACATGGCAAAAGTAGGAGTCAGGGAGAGAGAGAGAGTGGGAGAGTTGATGGGGAGGAGGTGCCACACACTTTAATGAGAGCTCAAGTATCAATGAGGGGATGGCCCAAGCCATTCATGATCCAGACAACTCCCACCAGGCCCCACCTCCAACGCTGAGGATTACATTTTCACATGAGATTTCGGTGGGGACAATTATCCAATCTATATCACAGAGCAAGTATTGGAACCAAAGTCAGATATGACAGGAATGTTGGAATGATCAGACCAGGGATTTAAAACAACTCTGACTAATATGCTAAGGGTTCTCACGGATAAAGCAGTCAGAGTTAGCATGCAAGTGTTACAGGAAAGGGGTCCAGATCCAGATCCCAAGAGAGGGTTCTTAATCTCTCATAAGAAAGAATTCAGGGTGAGTCTGTAAAGTGAAAGCAAGTTTATTAAGAAAGTTTAGGAATAAAAAAATGGCTACTCCATAGACAGAAAAGCCCAGAGGGCTGCTAGTTGTCTATTTCTATGGTTATTTCTTGACTGTATGCTAAACAAGGGGTGGATTATTCATGCCTTCTCTTTTCAGACCATATAGGGTAACTTCCTGATGTTGCCATGGCATTTGTAAACTGTCATGGCGCTAGTGGGAGTGTAGCAGTGAGGACGACCAGAGGTCAATCTCATCGCCATCTTGGTTTTGGTGGTTTTTGGCCAGCTTCTTTACTGAAAGCTGTTTTATAAGCAAGGTCTTTATGACCTGTATCTTGTGCTGACCTCCTATCTCATTCTGTGACTTAGAATGTCTTAACCATCCAGGAATGCAGCCCAGTAGGTCTCGGCTGCATTTTACCCAGCCCCTACTCAAGATGGAGTTTGTTCTGGTTCACCATACCTCTGACACAAGCACAGATGAGCAATGTAACTGAGTGCATTCTTTCTTCTGCTAGCACTGTGTGTTTCTGACTGTGGAGGCTGTGAGCCCATGAACTTAATCATTCATTTACTCCTCTTGGTCCTGATGTTTGGCTGGTGCTTGAAGACCTAACTCTGGCAATTAAGATTTCTTAGCTCATTTTCTGTTTTCCGCCATGGCATTCTCCCAAACCCTTTCCCAAGTTTGCCTTTAAAATTACTTTTAAAAAAATGTAGTTGTGGCCCACTAGCCTGATTTTAATGCTAATTAACCCAGTTTTTGTTTTGTTTTGTTTTTAGCTGGAACGGTATTTGCAAATTTGCAAGATGACTGGCCAGAATTAAGGATGTATTCTGTGGCCATTTAATGAAGATTTGTTGCATGTGAACAAAATTTTCTTCTATTGTATTGTCCAAGATCAAATAGGAAATTAAACTTCTCGCTGTATTGGCATTCACAATACAACTAATTACTACTTTCTTCTTATTACTTTTTAATTTGATGTCATTTTAAAGTGCAACCAAGTTCATGATGGAACACACAGATATCATATAGCTCTAATAAAATACAGTCTCCCATTTTTTTCTTTTCATTTTGTGGAAATAGTATTATCCAACAATAACCTATAAGTCATGCTCCATTGCCACTGTATTTTATAATCTTGTGCAATGATATTTTTATTCTAAGCCGTGACAGCATGGCTGAATCTGAAACCAACAGGGTTATATTGCAAATGTTGCCATTTTTCAAAATAGCTGTAGTATAAAAGAGAAGTTGATGAGATAGAAAAAGGGACATTTAATTTTTTAAAAAAAGGGCTGTGTATAATTTGTATTTTATAAACTGTAATTCAAACAATTTACTATAAAATTATCTTTGATTTCCAGGTTTCTTTGTTTTCTTTGGGATAAAGTCAAAGAAATAGGATATAGGGGTGTGTGTGTGTGTGTGTGTGTGTGTGTGTGTGTGTACGTGTCTAGGAAATAGGTTATGTTTTTGCAGTAATCTGATCTCAGAATGCAAATTCAGGTAGATCTCATTTTAAAAAGCATGATTCAACATATACAAAATAATGTAAATGAATTCCCCAATTCATTTTCTTTTCTTGAGTGATATAAAGGGTTCCAAGTCATAAACCCTGACGATTCTTCTCTCACCCGTGTCTGCCCACTCACCAGATCCTCAAAGGGTTCCTCCCAATCACCTCTGGCTCCTTACCACTGCATCCTCAGGCACAAAGTCTGCCACCCATCAGGCTCTTTCAGAGTCCTGACTGTCCCTCCTGAGGGAATATTTCCCTTTCTGTGCCTTCCTGTTTCTTCTGAGCACTCCTGGGTGTCTTCTTCTGAGCACTCCTGGGTGTCTGTGTTCATCCTGCCACTCCCCATTGCAGTTCTGCATCTTCTGAGGAGAATGGACTTATCAAGGATTATGGATTGTGGAAAATAGACCCTGTTTCCATGTGGCCCACTTTCAAAATGGCACCCTTGTGAAAGAAAGACAATGGAATAATCAAAAAGCAACTTTGAATGAACTTACTGAATTTCATGGACATTTTCCACGTTTAGACATCTCTTAAAATCTATTAATAGTGTGTTTTAAAAGTTTAAAGGGCAGCCTTTGCTTTTTTTAGTGATATACAATGTGATTTCTTTTCATCAATGGCCCCTTAGATTTGATGAAATTTAATGAATGCCTTCACCATGTTTTTCAAACACTCTGAAGATATTATGTAACTAGAGCAATCATCCTAAAATTCCTCTTTATATATTTCAGCTCTTGCTTCTGACTGAAATCCTCCTTCCCCAGGCCTGTCCAATATACCACTTTTCCTCAAATACTTTCCCTTTTTTCTATACTACAGCACACAACCTAGAGAAGATGACTTGTGAGAGAGGAGAAGGAACCACACTCAATCAGAGTTCAGTTTGGGGAGGGCAGAAGAAAGAGTAAAGCTTTCAACACTTCATAGGAGTCATTTATATTCTACTACATTTACCAAGAAGAGCGTTTTGTAGCAAGACATCTAATATCCCTGCAATTGTTTTTGCGCTTATACTGATATAATTCACAAAGTTCATCATCATATCATTGATTCATTGCTCTGAATTCCTCAAATAACATGGTACTATCAATATAATGAATGGTTTGCTTGCGCAAAGGACTGTGGAACACATTATAACACTGGTTGCATCGTTTGTTGGTTGGGGAGGTCAGTCAGGGTGTTTCCTTTTAACTAAAATCTTCCTCAGAAACTTGACTCAATTTTAATTCTTGCCAGGAAAGTCTTGAATTCCCTAAGAAAAACTATGAGCTTTTCGTCAGTATTTTTGAGAAGTGCTTACTCTAGTCTAATGAAATAAGTTAAAGGAGAGAAATGTGTACCCCTGTATGGCTCAGCAAATAAATGCCAAAAAACCCCCCGACATTTACCACAGATGTATAACAAATAACTTAAATCCTCTTTTAATTCCATATGGCTATGATGCTTCGCCTCAGGGAATTTGTAATTTGTGCCATCGAGGTAAACAGTAAGGTTTTCTTCGGTTTATTTTCTTCCTTTAAAATATATCTCATAGGTGGGAATTGAACAATGAGAACACATGGACACAGGAAGGGGAACATCACACACCTGGGACTGTTGTGGGGTTGGGGGAGGGGGGAGGGATAGCATTAGGAGATATACCTAATGCTAAATGACGAGTTAATGGGTGCAGCACACCAACAGGGCACATGTATACATATGTAACAAATCTGCAGGTTGTGCACATGTACCCTAAAACTTAAAGTATAATAATAATAAAATTAAAAAATATATATATATTATAAATAGCAATGTGAAATTTGCTACTTCAATATTACAGCCATAAATAAGAACATATGTATCTTCTATGTTTATTCATGAAGAAATTAAGTGGCATTATACTAACATACACTAATATGGCTATTCGCCAAATTGTATTTTCATGAACGCATCCTCCAAGATATCAAGAGAAGCCTTGCAAGTTACCTCCTAGGTTGAAATAATGACCCCAAGTCCTAAAAAAAATGCTCTTTTCCTTCTTAAATAGTCTCTTTGCTCAGCTCTTATTTCTCTCTTGAATCTTAGCTGTATACATTGAAATTGGAGGGATAATTGATCATTACATTAAGCAGATATCTCTTGAGGTTAAACGTACTTCAGGAACTTTGATTATCAGATAGTTTTGGATTTAATATTGTCAATGTCTTAGCAACTTAAACGATAAAATTTACTCTAGAGCTGTGGCCATTTAAGCATGTAGATGTGTACTGTATTGTCATTAGGCAGCCCACTGTTTTGATAAATAGAAGCATTCCTATTCCTTCAGTAAAACCTACATTTTTTCTATATATACTAGAACTTTGTTACCATACACATTCTAGATAATTTCATCTCATCTATTTTTCTAGTTCATTAACTTTTTCAATATTTTAAATCTGTTATTTAACTGTCCATTGACATTTTCATTTTATTAGCTAAAATTTTTATTACTTGTCATTTTTTCTTTTTTGAAATAAATTTGGTCATTTGATATGTGAATCGTTTTTCCTCATATTATAATACTTTATGTCTGTGCTATTTAACATTTATTTATAATCTTCATATTGCATTACATGGGGTTTTTGAGTTATAATCTTGTTGTTTCTTAGGTAAGATCAATTTTAAGTAACTGTGAGGCCTAGCTTGAACGTTTTCCCCTTATGAAAAGTTTTTATTTCCTTCTGCTAATTAATTATGAGAATTGTAAGGCTGGGACCACTTTATAATGTTAATTTCCAGCCCAGAGTTTTCTGTGACTTGCAGATTGTACACATTAGAACCCGAAACTTCTGTAATAGCACGACTAAGACCACACATTCCCATGACAGACCACATGACTTCTACCTAGAGAGCAAGTCAAGATACTCAAGTCTTCCTGTTGTCTTTATCTGCTGGACAGGTGGGCAGCTTTTCTAGTCTACCTGCTCATTGAGGATGTAGCCTCAAAATCCTGGGTTTTTGTGGAAAGTCTAAATGTCAACCAGTCATCGCATCTGGGACCAAATCCTTACCTCCTATTCCCCATGGCCATTAAAATGCTAACTACCTGGTTATCAAGACATGCAGTGTTTTCATTAAAACCTCTTTCTTAACTCATTTTGCTACTCTGTTTATTTTTTCATCCCAGAATATTATTTCCCTAATTTTATAAGCTTAAATCTGCATCTTAATAAATGTTTATTATAATTTATTCAGAATTGCTCTTTGCTTTGTATTGGAGCTTCATCAAATTTTCCAGTATATCACATTATCATAAACAAATATATATTCTTTATTAAGAATGTTCTTGATTTCATTTCTTTATATTTAGTTCTCATAGTCTGGTATCATCATTAATCTTCTCATCTCCTAAAACATCTTCTTTCTGGCTCCAAGAAATATGTATACTATTATTCTATGGTGTGGAATTTTTTCCCTATTTTTCCCCCAGTAAATCTCTGGTCTACTAAAAGTGTAGCATTTGTGGAAATCATAGCTGCATACATAGATGCAACAAAAGGCATGATTTTAATCCACATATAATGAAAATTGGCCTTATTCATTAACATACTATTATACATTAGAATGGTTAAAATTTTTAATGCTGCCTAATTTAAAACTTTTTACTTTCTTCATCTGAAATGTTTAAGAGCACACATAACACAACTTCTGGGTAATGATTCAATATGTCTCTTGACATTTTTTAGAAATGCCACTTGAATTATTAATGTTAAGTATATTGTTGCTGAAAGAAAGGTTAAGAATATGTTGAATATCAAGATGCTGGTGTTCTAAATAATATGACACAGGCTATTATATTTCATAATTGCTGTTGAATCTAAATTGGTCAAATAATATATTCAGAGATTATTATAAGATTATTTTCATTTCTGGCCATATTTCATGACCATAGCTATTCCCACAGCTATTTAATTTAAGTCAGATGTGCCAAGTTAAGGATTATTTAGACTCAAATATAAGAAGGGCCCACTGAAATGCACCAAATGTGCCATGCTGTAAAACTAGTATTAGTAGCAAAGAGGAGGGCAGAGTAGTGTGAGAGGAAGGTGAGAGTGGATAACAGGTGGAAATTTAGTGAGCATATCTGTGTTAGAGTTTAATAATATTGGCAATAATTAACTAACTGTCCTTGCATTGTGCAGCCAAAGCCAATCAGAGAGTTAGAATTTTGTAATGGAGATCTAGCTCAGATTTCAGATTTTGAAAAGAATATGGAAATCAGTAACGAACAGTGACATTACTTCTAGGTCATGGTTATCACTGGCAAAGAAATCAAAGAAGTATGTAATAAAGGTCAAAACACAATGAACCAGGTACTTAGAGTTCAATCTGGGCAAGAATCTGGCTGACTGTTTTGGTGGACAGTTTCCTGCTGTAAGATTATTTTTGTATTCCTTTGGTCAGGGACCAAACTGATAACAAAAACCAAGACAAATCTGGATAGTTAGGTGTTTTCCAACAGAAATGGAGAGGGGAAGGACCAAGGGCAGAGCTATATAGATAAAAGATGAATGTCTTAGAAGAACTGTTGGAGGATTAACTTGGAGGAAGTTAATCAGACAAACTTCTGGGTCAGCAGGTTTTCATAGTATTGTTGGATTTCCCCATAATCATAATGGACATTTCAATTCATGTAGTTTAAATGTTAAGTCAGCTCATTCAGTTTCCTTTCAGTTACTGTTAGAAAAGGAAATTTTTGCTAATCTATTTTCATGATAATTGTGACATAGCATAAACTGTAGATGAATGTTTTTATAGAGTAAAATGTTCATTTGAAAATGGCCATGGCTATTTCTTAAATACTAAAGAAAGATATAGCTAGGATATATTAGACAATATAGACTTAATACATGGAATGTATTTTCATGAACAATTCCTGAACTTTTTAAATTAGTACCTATTTATAAAGGTGGACTTTATGTTTTACACACTATTGTTATAAGAGGTCTATTTTTTTCTCAATATATTACACAATTTATGCTTTTCAGGATTTTGCCCCAATTATCTTTGCTACTTGTAATTGTTTTAAATTAATATATGAAGGTAAAGTTTTACAATGGAAACTCAGTTTGGAAAGTTATACCCAAAGCTTTCTAGAAAGCCTTCTATCTCACAGTTGTATGTAAACAATTATGTCATAGTCCACTTTCTGCTGTTATAATAGCATACCACACACTAGGGAACTTGTGAAAAACAGAAGCTGATTTGGCTCATGGTTCTAGAGGCTGGGAAGTCCAAGAGCACAGTGCTAGCATCTGCTTGGCATCTGGTGAGGGTCTTTTTACTGTTTCATAACATGGTAGAAGGGCAAGAGAGCAAGCAAAAGAACAAGAGAGGAAAAGGAGGCCAAACTCTCATGATAACTAAGTCACTCCCTCAATAAAGGCATTAATTCATTCATCAAGATGGATTCCTCATGATCTAATCACCTCTTAATACCATTACAATAGCAATTAAATTACAAGATGAGTTTTGGCATGGACATAAAGTCATAGCAAATTAATAATCAAATTTTAAAAGAAATGGAGGTATCGGCTCTACATTAATTTGAATAACAGTTTTTTTTTGCATTGTGTCAATCTCAATAGGAAACAGAAATCTCCTTATCTGCACAAATCATTGTTTCACTCCTTTTTCCTTTTTTTCATTAATTTTGAGTTAAAATTAGCATATGAATTTTAATAATAATCTAGGAGGATATTGCCATTTATATTAATAGTCAGGAGCTAATTTTTTAATTAAAATGTTTCTTGCTTGGAGAGGCAGATCTATGAATTGTTCAAAACTTGGGCATAGAAATGCCCTGAATCTTCTTTTGACTTGGTCTCTGCACATGGAAGGCGTCAAAAAAAACCACTGCCTGCTAGGCTGCCAGCTAGTCTTTTTCCTGTCCATTCAAATATATTACTGTTCTATCTTGGCAAATGACTCTGTGACTCACACTAAGAACATTTAGACCTAAAAAACCACCTTCTTTATGATACGTGATTTCAATGTCATATACTCAATATCTAATACCAAATATTAATTATTTTCACATTTGCTAGCGATTGTTGATCTCTAGGAAATGTCAAATCAAGTGTCTCACATGGGAATTCTCTTTAGTTTTGTAGCATATTATTTGCTGGTTTCATGATCAAAACACAATAATACATGATTGTATTGTTCTTCCTAATTATATTTGTATGAGAGAAATGCTTGTCACTAGCCATGGCCATGGAACTTGCAGTGCCTCCATGCCGGAGAATACTTCCTAACTTAACTGTCACCAGGCTTTGCCATGACTTGCTTTGCCCACCTGCATATGACTGGAAGTAATGCAAGGCACCCTTAGGACTTTATGTGGGAGCGAGGAGGGACACCGTGGGCTTGGCCACTCATCTTTCTGTCCTTGATACTGACAGCTCTTTTAGCCTGGATCCAAATATAAAAAAGAATTGCAAAACATTATGAAAGAATAGACTATTCTACCTACCCCCTCCCCCAAAGGGTAATATTTTCTTTATTATCTTTAAGGGTAAAGGTACACATTTTCTCAGGTCATTTGGAGGGCACTAGGCTGAGTAAGGGGAGAATGAAGGCATATTTGGTGAACATTTTTCAGATTTTAAATAGAGAGATTTCGGCCTTTATCCTCTGTCCTCTTGTTTTCCTGTTTTAATGTTTGTGCTAATAATTCTGCTATTAAGTAATGCTAACCTGAAAACTTAGTCACAGTTCACAAAGTGTATGTTGCATTTTTATTTTGTTTTCAGGAGACAGTTTGCTCTAATTTAAAGCCAATGTCCCAAATCAGTTTAAGAATCCAACTTTGTAAGACAAAAGGTCAGCTTTTCCTAATTTATATCACCGTGGAAGAATAATTCTAAAAGAATAAGGATTGAACTGTCTCTGGGCTTTAATATAAGCTACTATGCTTCAACTGAATGGTTTGAGGCACAGTAAAGTAAGATTATTAAAGGCTGCCACATGCTCAATATATAAGTAATGGGTACATAAGAACATTCTGGTGAAGGGGAAGTTTATTTTGGGAGCAATAAGTTTTTCTTCCCTTTGTGATTTGAATTCTATTTCAATTGTTTTGGTGAAAATAAAAATGCCAGAAAGAATTCATGTGTTTAGCTTGGGAGGCTGGTGTTTTAGAAACCTGATGGCTGATTGACAGAATATTTTTCTACTTCACAAATGTCACATGCCCTTATGGAGTGTGTATCAAATGTATGAATTACCTTCTTCATCCTCTCCACCTCTAAGAAGGAAGGGGTAGGTGAGCAGAATCCAATGCAATCACATCTTCCTGGAACACTCTATTTAGCAGATCTGGTAGAATCTTCCTCTGATAACGTTTAAGGTTGACTGCTTAGAGATGTTTTAGTAACTTTTCAGTCTTCATAAAAATAAATAAAAGCCCTACTCACAAAGGAATGATGTTTGAGAGTCATCTCTAATATTAATAAGTACTACTTATTAGTAAAATAAAATAAGTATTACTGTTTAACAAAATGCAAACTATAACAGTGAGACTTAACTGTTTGTAACCTTAGGATGAGAATCCAGACCTTCTGTGAGAATGCTTGCAAAGTTTTTTTTTTTTTTTTTGCTATTCCCAGCTTCACCCAGCATAACCGTATTACAGCGTGAAACTTCAAGAGGTGAGGAAGGAAAGAGCTACTTTCATTCTGACTTGCTGGGTTGTTGAGTGGAAACATTTGTATTCACCCTTGGTCCTAAAATTTTTATGCACAGCCACTGTGCTTCATCAAGATTCTCCTCTTTATTAATAACTTTCTTCTAGTAAACTTCCAACTATATGGGAAATTTAAGGCATTTCTGCATGTAATTATTGGCAAAATCACATATATTAATGAACACATAAATAGTGGAGAACGTGACTTATAACCATCAAATTGACATTATCTATTTAGGGCTGACAAATGACTATTAAAAACTTGAAGAAAGGTGTAACGATCATGTCTATCTGTCTGTATTACCAAAACCAAAATTTTTCTTCTTTGAAAAGGATAGATGAGTTAACATTTTTCATTTTGCTATTCCAGACCCTCTACAATATGACCTTGCTTGCTTCTTCTTCTTTCCCTTGCTACATTTTTTTTTCCTTGAATTTAGCAAATATTGCTCAGGTAGCTAATAAATATAAAACACAGCTGGTCTGAGTGCAGTGGTGTTTACAACTAATTGATCACAACCAGTTACAGATTTCTTTGTTCCTTTTTCATTCCCACTGCTTCACTTCACTAGCCTAAAAAATAAAAATAGAGAAATGAAATATATATATTAATACAACACTACAGTTGACATTAAAGGTAATATAACAACAAATATAAAAAAGGAGAAGTCTTATAATTTATATCTTGTGATGAGAAAAAATATATATATATATATACACACACATACATATATGAAAAACAGGCTTGCTTACTCAACTTACTCAGTTATCTCACATTTGTCAAATTACACATAGTCAACTTCACACCGATGCATCTGTCCTTCACACTCCCTTGAAATGGCCTAAACATGTTCTACTCCTTCAAGCGCCAGGTCACATCTCACTTTCTCAGCTAAGATTTGCTTTTTCATCTCATAGTGATCTCTTCCTCTTTTCCACAAAATTAAATTGTTTTTTGTATTACTCTGTTCTGCCTTCCATCTTTTATGGATAGACCATCTTTATGATGGATGATTAATTACATACAAGAAAAAGTCCTATGTCTCCTTCTCTGTAACCCCAACTTTTGTCTTGCAAATGTATCATAGTAGAAGATAATTTAACAACAAAAAGTAGAATCCAAGAGGGCAGAAAAGATGTCATGTAAAATTATGCTTCGTCTTCTTTCATGTTTCCTTGGTAACAGAAATGTCTTGTCCACAGATTTTAACTTCCATTTAACTTCCATCTGTGATGCTATTTTACAGTGTTATATACAATTTTGTAAATTTGTGCTTATTCAACAAATCTAAAGTTTTAACAATCTGTCACCAGGTGGTGACAAAATCACAGTGGTACATAGTTTGAGCAATACCAAATGATAAATCATAAACACGTCTAATGCATAATAATGTTACACAATATTATATACATGTAATTTCAGATTCTTCTTGAGTTACCTCCTGTTCTAAATTCTGGAAATACACAAGAGATTCTAAACTCAGGTTTAAAGACAGACTCTTTTCTATTCACAGATATCCACTTTTGTATATGTTTTTCCCTGGCTCAGGGGAAGAGAAAGATACTGAACTCCAAGATTAAGGTGCACCGTTCATATATGTGTCAGTTTCTCTGATTGCTCAGCTCTCAGGGAGACCTGAATGTGTCAAAAAGGTTGGCTTCCATTTTCCCTCTCAGTTAAAAATTACTGGCGTTCACCTTCTTGGTTCTGGTTAAAACCAACCTTCCTGTCTTTCAATGCCAGGAGGAAAGACGCAGCAAAAACCTTCATTCAAATTTTCCAACAATTTTTTTAAACTCCACAGCTATAATTTAGCAATTAAAAGGAGAAATTGGGTCTCTCATTCCAGGTGCTTTCTCTGATCATTTTTTCTTACTTTTTTGTACTTAACTCCCACGCTACCTTACATGTACCAATTAAATAGGGCTCCGGTCCCTGTCCTTTAAATATACTCCATATTTTTCAGACATGATACCTTTGTCTCTCTTGCACATCTCATGCTTTTTCTCCTTGTCAAAATCAGAGCATCATTTTGGTACAGCCCAAAATTTACCATTACATAAAATATTTCCTGATGTCTGCTGCTGTTTGAAATTCTTTCCTCTCCTAAAGACTTGTATGTATTCACTCAGTTCTTTAGGACATTTGTATGCTGCCAAGTATTGTATTTATTTTCATAGTCTTCTTTTGAAATCAAAGGTATCTTAGAGTATAGACAACGTCTAATTATCTTGATGTTTCCTAGTAAAACTCACTGCATCTGGTTTCTTATTTCTCAAAGAAGACCATCTTGAGTCAATATGAACAGAATTTATTATGTTATATACAGTATGAGTTAGCATTTGAGTTGTGTTGGTTATAGCCACAAGATTTTTTAAAGCAGAATTAAACATTAAAGAGAAATTAGAAAAGTATGTGTTATGCATATGTACACACATACACATATATATCGTGTTAAACTGAATATGTTTAGATACAAAGATATGCATTATTGGGCAATTAATTTTACTTTTTTTGTTATCTCTGACACTAAGCAAGAAAATACAGGGAGGAAAGCTATCTTTCTTTTAGATTTTGGTCTAATTAGGACTTTATTAATGTTTTGGGGGTAGAATTTAGAATATATTGTGTCAATGACCATATTACATGAAGAAAGAGACATAAGAAGAAATTTGGACAGGGGGGAAATTATGAAAGCACTGAGTGATTGACTTGAGGAAAAACAGGAAAAAATGAGTGCATAGAAATCAATTAATAACTGAAGTTAATTATTAAGGGCAGACTCAAGAAGCTTGAATGTTTATATAGAAGGCAAGTGGGTTCAAGTGGAATGATTCCAAGAGAAAGCTACGTAAGTGGAGTAGGATAAATGTGTGATTTTACAGTAAAACATTTGAAATACAAAGAAGTGAAAGGAGAAAAAAAATGCCTATCCAGCTTTTAAAAAGTTTCTTTAATAAAAATATGAACAAATCACACAGAGAAAATGACTCATTGCAGAATGAAGGGTGAGCCTCAGATCTGTAGGAGTCATCTCAGTGTGTTGACCTTCGTAGATTGAAGAACAAATAGGGAATGCCAACGGGGCATTCACAGGCAGCACAAAAGGAGGCCAAAAGAATGTAAGAGCCATAGCTTTAAGCTACTATTGTGCAAAAACTGCTTTAAAACGACAAGAAACATGGCACTAGGAAAACAAAATCCTGGGCATGATTTGTAAAATGGCTGAAATTACATTCATCTCCATTGTGAAAATTCTTCAAGGCTGCTGAAAACCAAAGAATACGTATGTCAAATATAAGGTTTTTTATCAAGTTTTTTATTGCCCAAAAGTGTACTTAAAATTATTTTTGTAATTATATACTTACATTTGTATATTAGAATCAGACTAATCTTGCTTCAGGCACAGCTCAGTCAATGCTTATTTTTGTGATTGTGGGCAAATACTGAAACTTTCCTATTTTGATGTTTTTTGTTGGTAACATAGAAGCAATACTATGCTTGGTGGTGGTGAAGTTCTTAAAGAGTCAGTGAAGCGAATAAGGTAGCATTGTGTACAGATCTGGTCAAGAAATAAGCCTTCAATTAGCTCTATTATACCTTATAGTGCTTTGCAATTAAAAGTTTTAACTCCTGCTTTATAAAGAGAGTTTTTAAGTATATAACTATGTGTTAATTTAGTTTTATTTTTTATTATACTTTAAATTCTGGGTTACATGTACAGAACGTGCAGTTTTGTTACATAGGTATACACGTGCCCATTAATTTATTAAATATGCTTCAGTCCAACTGATTTACTCCATGACTTGCGTTCAGCTCAAGCTCAGAGAATAGACCCCATGCAAATTTAAAGGCCTGGTTTCTTTGGAGATCTATGCCATTTCATGCAAATCCTTTTACTCACCGCCCCCCCCAAACAGAACCTCTACACCACCTCCCAACATTTCCACGAATTAGTCAAGAACTCAGACAGATTTTACTATTCAACAACAAGGTGGGGTTGATTGTGTCAAGACAAAACTCATCTTCTAGAATAGAAAGATCTAGGATACAAGCCAACAAACCAAAGTGGAACAGAAATAGATCAACAAGGAAAACGTTTCACTTTCAGAGTCGATGTGTAAGATATTGTGCCACAATGAATTACTCATTCTTTGAAACCTATGGGATGTTTGAGCTCTTCTGAAAGAAATAACACCATTATATAAAAGTTAAGTGCTTAAAGCTTCATCATGTATTCCCACACATGTGCACCAATAAAACTGATGAAATATTCCACAGTGGCAAGTTTCTAGTAAGGCCCAGTCAACTCACCCATTAAAATTACATTTGCTGAACCAAAACTTAGCAGCTGGGATGCCATCTTGTATATGCCTCAGTGATTCCATGAACAATATTTACCTCTCTTTAGCTTCATTCATTCAAAATATTATTTTTTACTGTCTGACATATAGTAGATACTCTATAATTAGATAAGATGAATAGGAACTAGAAGAGTTTGAGGAATCATTTTGAAATGTATGTGTTATTTCAGATATTTAAATAATTTGAATTCAAATAGATTTAATTCATTAAATTACTTTGGTATTCATTATTTGCAAGGCATTCTCAAGGCATCATGGGGTATGCAGAGAAAATGATGAAATTCTTATAGTCACCAAGGTAAAAATAATAAAAACAGTGTATCATAACTAGATACGGTTTATCAAAGGATGACTGGAAGGGTTTAATGTTAAGAGACTTCAGAAGTAAAATTATATAATCATATTGAAACAGGCAAATAAAACACAATTCGTTAAAATTTTTTTTTTTTCCAATGAGATCACATGGACATAGGGAGGGGAACAACACACACTGGGGCTTGTCAGGGAATGGGAGGCAAGGGGAGGGAGAGCATTAGGACAAATACCTAATGCATGCGGGGCTTAAAACCTAGATGATGGGTTGATAGGTACAGCAAACCACCATGACAAACCACCACATGACATGTATAACCTATGTAACAAACCTGCACATTCTGCACATGTATCAGAACTTAAGTAAAATAAATAAATATATATTAAAAATTTCTCTTTTTTTTTTTTTTTTTTGAGATGGAGTCTCACTCTGTCGCCCAGGTTGGAGTGCAATCTCAGCTCACTACAATGTCTGCCTCCCCGGTTCAAGCAATTCTCCTGCCTCAGCCCCTCGAGTAGCTGGTATTAGAGTCGCACACCACCATACCCAGCTAATTTTTGTATTTGTAATAGAGACAAGATTTCGCCATGTTGGCCAGGCTGGTCTCAAACTCCTGACCTCAGGTGATCCACCCGCCTCGGCCTCCCAAGTGTTGGGATTTCAGGCATGAGCCATTGTGCCCAGCCTAAAATTTCCTAACAAATACAAAATGGAAAGGAATCACATGAATAGGTCATGATCACTACCCAAAATATACAACAAACATCCTGTTTATTAGTGAAACATAAAAGCATTCTCTTTAAAAACTGGATAAGACTCCTGGCTAACATGGTGAAACCCCGTCTCTACTAAAAATACAAAAAATTAGCCAGGCATGGTGGCGGGCGCCCGTAATCCCAGCTACTTGGGAGGCTGAGGCAGGAGAATGGCATGAACCCAGGAGGCGGAGCTTGCAGTGAGCCGAGATCGTGCCACTGCACTCCAGGCTGGGCAACAGAGCGAGACTCCATCTCAAACAAACAAACAAACAAAAACTGGGTAAGACAAGGATGTCTGCTTTCACCACTGTTGAGGAGATAAAACCAAGAGTTCCGGGAGACCAAGACAGCTAGAGATTGCAAGACATGTTCATAGAGAGGAAAGATCAGCTGAAGGAGTTCTAGAGATCAACTAAGAGTCAGCCTCAAGTGTACTGCTAAGTACCAGTCAGTGTGTGTGTTCAGGGAAACGATCTTAAGATGGAATAAGAACCATCTGAAAGTAGTAGGCTTTCACCAAAGAGCTTATCCTGGACAAAATACAAAGGATATCAGGTATTATATTTTAAAATAGTGACTCAGCAGTGGGACAGAATTAGCCCTAAACTCACATCTGCTGTGGTTCATCTAACAAAGCTTAAAAGCAAGCATCAAAAGGGTGGCTATATTTTTGGAAGTTTTCTCCGTCAATCTTCATGTTGCAGTTTGATCCCCAATGTTGGTTGTGAAGTCCAATGGGAGGTGTTTGGGTCATGGGTGAATCTCTCGTGAATGGATGAATGCCCTCCCTTAAGGGTGCATAAATTCTTACTCTGCTAGTTGCCTTGAGGGCTGATTGTTAAAGAGTCTGGCACTCCCTAACTACCTTGCTTTCTCTCTCACCATGTGACCTCTGCACACTCTTCCTCTTCTTCGCTACTGTGAGTGGTAGCAGCCTGAAACCTTCACCAGGTGCATATGCCAGTGCCATACTTCTTGTACAGTCTGCAAAACTGTGAGCCAAATAAACTTCTTTTCATTATTAATTACCCTGCCACAGGTATTCTTTCATAGCAACACAAAACAGACTAAGACAAATATCAAGCTGTTTCCAAGAAACTTGGTGGTATTACACAAAAAAGTTCAAGGATTTTTTTAAAATATGAGATTATCCAGGACCCAATAATTTAAAAATACACAATTTATGCCATAGTTTCAAAAATTCATAAGCATGCAAAGAAGTAAAAAAAAATGACACATAATGCGTAGAAAAATAATCAGAACTGACCCAGAACTTTAGTGGTCCGACATGTAATGAGCTTAGAAGTCACTCTAATACTCACAAAAAGAAAAACCTGAATAAAATGAAAATCAACAACCCTTATATTCAGCAGAAAACGAAAATCACTAGGCAAACTTTAGCCCCCATATTGGAGACACGGGTAAATACAAAGATTTACAGATTACTGGAGCGGAAGTCCAGGAACAAAGTCCACCACTAAAGCCAGTACTAGATTCATTTTACCTGGGAAATTATGTCCAGCTTTCCACAAAAAGTACAAGGCATACTGAAGACAAAAACAATGTGTGAAGAGACAAAGAAAGCATGAGAACCAGGCCCAGATATGACAGATATCTTGGCATTATCACACTGAGATTTTAAAATAAGTATAATCAGTATGCTAACATGTGCAATGGAAAAAGTAGACATTATATAAGAACATATGTTTAATATAATCAGACAGATGAAGACTCAATAAACAATTAAAAGAAAATGCTATAAATAAAAACCATAACTACAGAAATAATGCCTTTGTTGGTCACATCAATAAACTGGAAAGAGTGAGAAAAAGAATGAGAAGCATGACTGAACTTGAAAAGACATCAACATGAATTTCATAACTGAAAGGCAAAGAGAAAAAGACAGATTTAATAAAACATACAAGAACTCTGAGACAATTCTGATTAAGTATATGTCAAAATAGGAATACCAGAAAAAGAAGAAACAGAGTGAAAACAGAAGAAATATTTGAAGGAATAATGGCTGAAAGTTTTCTAATATTAATGACAAACACCAAACTGCAAATGAAGACATTCAGAGATGACCACTCAGGATAAATACCAAAAATATATAACTGGGCATATTATCTTTAAATTTTGGACATCCAAAATGAAGAGAAAATCTTGAAGGAAGCCAAGCAGGGTGGTGAATACTACCTATAGAAGACCGAGGATAAAAATTGCACTGGCCTCTTCAGAAACCATGAAGGCAAAAAGAGAATGCAGTGAAATATTTAGTTTTACAGAAAAATCCAACAACCTGAAATTCTGTATCTGGTGATTTCTTTCTGAACCAAACAAAAATAGAAATTTGTCACCAATAGACTTACTTTTCAAGAACTGTTAAAGTAAATTATTTAGAGAGGAGAACTTCTGAATCAAACAAAAATGTAAAAATTGTCACCAATAGGCTTACTTTTCAAGAACTATTAAATTTCTTAGAGAGAAGAAAATAAGCTATGTTAGAAACTCAAATCTGCATAAAGAAAAAAGATCATTAGAGAAGGAATAAATGAAAGTAAAATAAAATATTTTATTGTTCTTATTGATCTAAAAGGTTTTTTCAAAATAATAACAGAAATAATATGTTCAGTGATTACAGCTTATGGACAAGTATTACTCATTAGCATCCTTTTCTTTTGGCTTGAAGAGCTCCCTTTAGCATTTCTTTTAAGACAGGACTGGTAGTGATAAACATCCTCAGCTCTTGTTTGCCTGAAATGTCTTTATCTCTCCATTTCTCAAGAACACTTCTGCTGAGTACAGTTTTTCTGGTTGGCAGTTTTTTCTTTAGCACTTTGAATATATTTCCTCATTCTCTTCTGGGCTGTAAAGTTTCTGCTGAGAAGTCTGCTACTGAGTGCGCTAGAATTCCTCTATGTTTTTTGCTTCCTTTTTCTTGCTGCTTTCAAGACCCTTTCTTTGTCTTTGAATTTGGACAGTTTGATTATATAGTCATCCCTTGGTATCCATGAGGGTCATTTCTAGTATGCTTCCTTGAATACCAAAATCTATGGATGCTCAAGTCCCTGATATAAAATGATGTAATATTTGCATATAACTATGTACATCCTCCCATATACATTAATCTCCAGATTACTTATAATACCTAATAAAAATGTAAATGTTATCTAATTAGTTTTATACCATGTTTTTTATTTGTATTATTTCTGTAATAATTTCTATTGGTGTTTTAAACATTTTTTTTTTTTTTTTTTGAGACAGAGTCTCGCTTTGTCGCCCAGGCTGGAGTGCAGTGGCAGGATCTTGGTTCACTACAAGCTCCACCTCCTGGGTTCACGCCATTCTCCTGCCTCAGCCTCCCGAGTAGCTGGGACTACAGGCGCCCGCCACCACACCCAGCTAATTTTTTTGTATGTTTAGTAGAGACGGGGTTTCACTGTGTTAGCCAGGATGGTCTCGATCTCCTGACCTCAAGATCCACCCGCCTCGGCCTCCCAAAGTGCTGGAATTACAGGCGTAAGCCACCGCGCCTGGCCTTAAACAGTATTTTTAATCTGCAGTTGGGTTGAATCAACAAAGTGAAACCTGCGGAAGTAGAAGTTGGACCATAATATGTCTTAGAATAGTCTTATTTTGGTTTAATCCAGTTGGAAATTTTCAGCCTTCCTCTACCTGGATATTTCTATCTTTCTCTAGGTTTAGAAAGTTTTCTGCAATTTTTTAGATAAGATTTCTATCTCTTTATCTTTTTCTTCTCTTGATTTACCTGTGATGACTTGAACATTTGATTTTTGGGTACTTTCCCATAAGTCCTGAAAGTTGCTTCATTTCTCTTTATTCTTTTTGTTTCTTTTTTTCCTCTTCTGATGGTGTATTTTCCAATAACCTCTCTCTGGGTTCATAGATTCTTCTGTTTGATGAATTCCGCTGTTGATGCTGTCTATCGAATTTTTTATTTTGTTTATTTAGCTCCAGGATTTCTGTTCATCATTATTGTTGCTGCTGCTGTTGTAATGTTTCTGTTGAATTTCTCATTGTGTTCAGTTATTGTTTTCCTAATTTCTTTTAATTGTTTCTCTGTATTTTGTTGAAGTACACAAACCTTTCTTAAAACAATTATTTTAAGTTATTTGTCAGGCAGTTGATATATCTCCATCTCTTTAGGGCTGGTACTGGTGCTTTATTTTATCTGTCTGGTGATGTCATTTTTCCCTAATTGTCCTTGATCTTCATTGCCATGCATCAGTGCCTGTGCATTTGAAGAAGTAGGTACTTACTCCAGTCTTTATAGACTAGCTTTGTCTGGAAACACTTCAAAGTTAAGCCCATTTAGAGGGTCTGGGTAGGCCAGTGGGCATGTTCCTTATGCCCAGCACCATGGTGGCGATTACAGCACTACGCCATTGGAACACTTTAAGCCTGGGATTACTTCAGTCAGCATGGCTGCCAGGCTATAATCCCATAGCTCCTGAGGCCATCCCATCACTGTGACGAGGCATGCCCAAAGCCCCATATCCAATGACGTCTGCCTGTTTGTTGAGGTTTGTTCAGAGTCCAAGGCCACTGCAGACTGCATATGTCCACTTCATAGGGGCTGTGCTTTCCCACTTGGTGCCAAGGGAGGTTTGGAGACTCAATCCACAGATACCAGTTTACAGTCAGGAGCCACAGTAGTCTGCCTGGTGTAGCACAGTGTTAGTGTTCAAGGCAAAGTATTATGTTTATGTCCTTCTCTTTCCCCCAAGTGGACAGTATCTCTCTCTTCATTGTGCTGCTTGGTCTTGGGAGACGAATGATATGGGTAACATAAAACTGACCTTTCAACCCTCATCAATAAATATTTTCTTATTACTATATTATAACCACGTACTGTAGCATTCTACTTAGTTTCCTTGGCTCTTTTGAAGATGTTTTTATGTGTGGATAGTTGTTCAAATTGATGTTGAGGGATGATTGCTGCAGAGTCCTAAATTGCCATCTCACTCTACTCTCCTCCAGTTCATGGGTAAGTAACATGAATGACAGTAATGGTATGAAAGAAAGGAGAGAACTTGGAAATATTCTGTTAAAAAGTACTTGCAGTACCTATGACATGTATAGTAATTTCAAAGTGGATTTATATTAGTTATAAATGTATATTGCAAACTCTAAGGTAGCCACTAAAGCTCTTTTTAAAGAAGTATAGTTGATATGCTAGCAAGGGAGAATAAATGGAATCATATAAAATGCTCAAGTAAAATTATGAAAGGTAAGAAAAAGGTGAAAGACAAAAATTAGGAACAGAGAATAAGAGCAACAAAGAGAAAACAGTAACAAATATGGTACATATAAATCCAACTATATCAATAAGCGCTTTAGACTTGAATAGTCTAAATCAACTAATTAAAAAACGAAAACTAGCAGAGTAGGTAAAAAACAACACACAACTATACATTGTCTACAAAAGACGTACTTTAAATAAGAAGGAACCATTTGATTTTTTAAAAGGGATGGAGAAAGAGGCACCATGTTAACATTAATCAAAGGAAAGTTAGAGTAGCTATCTTAATTTTAGGCAAAGCCAACTTCAGAGCAAGGTTAATTGCTTGTGAGGAAAACAGGGGCATTAAATGATGACAAAGGTTCAACTCTCCAAAAACCTTAACAGCCTTTAATGTGTATGCATCTAACAGAGTGTCAAAATATGTAAGGCAAAAACTGATAGAATTGCAAGGGGAAAGAGATAACCCTCTATTGTATTTGGAGACTTCAATACCCCTCTATCAGTAACTGACAAATGCAACAGACAGAAATTCAGTAAGGACACAGTTGAACTCGACAGCACCGTAAATCAACTGGATATAATTGACATTTAGAGAATACTTCACCCAACAGCAGAATACACATTCTTCTCAAGCTTCCATGGAACATTCACCAAAATTGCCTACATTTGGGGACACAAAACACATTTTAAGAAGTTCAAAAGAATAGAAATCATAAAAGTATTCTCCCAAACCATGATGCAATTAAGCTAGAAATCGATGCCTGAAAGATAGCTTAAAAATTCCAAAACATTTGCAGATTAAACAACTTACTTTTAATTAACACATAGGTCAAATAAATCTCCAGAGTAATTTTAAAATATTTTGAACAAAATAAAACTGAAAATGAAACATCAAATTTGTATGGCACATCAAAAGCAATACTTAGGGGAAATATATAGCATCGAAGGCATTATTAGAAGAAAGATCTAAAATCAATAATCTTATTTTGCACCCTAGGGAAACCATAAGAAGAAAACATTAAACCCAAATTTAATTTTAATTCTAATGCTCACTAAAGTAAGCAGACAAAAGGAAAAGATAGAAAAAGAGCAGAAATCAATAAAATTGAAAACAGGTAATGGAGAAACTTAAACCAAATACTTTTAAAAATCAATAAAATTGATAAACTTTTTGCAGGGAAAGAAAGGATAAAAAAGAGAAGACACAAGCTACTAATTTCAGAATAAAAAGCAACTATCACTACTGATACAATGGACATTAACAAGATAGTTAAAAATATTACTAACAACTCTAGGATCATAAATTGACAACCTAGATAAAATGGATCAATTTGTTGAAAGACACGATCTGCCAAAACTCACACAAAATGAAATTGAAGATCTGAACACGTCCTTATCTATTTTAAAAATTGAATCAATAATTAATAATCTTCCAAAACAGCACCAGTTTTAGATGGATTCACTGGTTAATTCTATAATACTTTTAAGGAAGAGGTTTTATCAATCCTTTACAATATGTTACAGAAAATAGAAGCAGAGAAAATGTGTCCTAATTCCTTGTATAAGATTGACATTATCCTAATACCAAAACCAGATAATGTTATTAAAGAAAGGAAAACTATAGATCAATATCTCTCGTAAACCTATGCAAAATTTTCAACAACATATTATTAAGTTGAATTCAACAATATATAAAAAGAATTGTGCACCATGACTGAGAGGAATTCATTCCAAGTACACAAAGGCAGTTCAACATTCAAAAATTAATTAATGTGATCCATCACATCAACAGAAGGAAAAAGAAAAAGCATATGATTACATAAAAGATGCAGAAAATGCATTTGACAAAATTCAGCACCAATTTATAATAAAACTTTTCAGCAAACTAGGAACGAAGAGTAACTTGCTTAATAAAGAACATCTACAAAAAGCCTATAGTTAACATCAAACTTAATGATGAGAAAGTAGATACTCTTGCACTAATATCAGGAACAAGGCAAGGATGTCCCTTCTCACCTATCCTATTGAAAATTATGCTAGAAGTTTCAAGTAATGTAATGAGAAAAGGATGTAAAAATTGTATATATTGAGAAAGAAGAATATAAATCTTTGTGTGCAGATAAAATGTCTACCTAAAGATCATGCCACTACCCTCCAGTCTGGGTGACAAGAGCGAGACTCCGTCTCAAAAAAACAGAACAAAACAAAACAAAAATGTCTGCCTAAATAGAAAATCTCAAAGAATTGACAAAAAAAAAAAAAAAAAAACCTGCTAGAACCAAAAAGCAATTCAAGAATGTTCCAGACTATGAGATTAAAATACAAATGTCAATTCATTTTCTATATACCAGCAATAAAAATTGGATTTTGGAAATAGAAAAGCAACACCATTTACTTTAACACCAAAATTGAAATATTTATATATAAATCTGACAAAATATGTAAAAGACCTATATGAGGAAAACAACTAAACTCTCACAAAAGCAACCAAAGGACTAAATACACAAATATGTTCCATGTCTATGGATAGGAAGACTTGACATTGATAAGACATCACTTCTTTACAATTTAAGCTATAGATTCAATGCAATCCCAATAAAATCTCTACAAGTTATTTTGTGGATTGACAAACTGATTCTAAAGTTTTTATGGAAAGCAATTGTCCTAGAATAGCCAAGACAATATTGAAGAAAAAAGTCAGAAAACTGACACTACTATACTTTAAAACTTACTATATGCAGTATTCAAGACAGAGTGGTATGGCAAAAGAATAGACAAATATATTAATGAAACCAATACAGACCTGAAAAAATATAGTCAACTTATCTTGAACAAAGAGGCAAAGACAATTTAATAAAGGATAGTATTTTCAACAGATAATGGAACAAATGGAACCCACGTGAAATACACACTTTGCACCTTTCACAAAAATTAATTCAAAATGGATTATAGATATAAATGAAAATGCAAAACAATAAAATGCCTAGAAGATAACAGGAAAAAATATAGGTAACATTATATTTGGATTTTTTTATTTTTAAAATAAAGTTATTAAACATATTTTACTTATTTATATTAAACTTAATAATATGGTTATATAAATTAAGGAAGCCATTTAACATTAACAGTTAGCCCTTTATTATGGACTGAAAAATATTTCCAGGCATGTTAAAGGAAATAAAAATGTCATTACTTCTTATTTTAAATAATTATTTATTTATGATGATAATTACTGAAAAATATTATAACACAAAAATAAACTTCTACCATTATTTCTAATGATTACACACAAAACCTGTTGAGAGCCCCAGAATTTCTGTGTTTTTTGTTTTTGTTTGTCTTTTTTTTCTATTACTGTTGCAACTTCCTATTTGGATTACTTTTCTTTTTTTTAAGTTCAGGGGTACATGCACAGGTTTGTTACATAGGTCAATTTGTGTCATGAAGATTTGTTGTACAGATTATTTCGTCACCCTGGTATTAAGGCTAGTACCCATTAGTAATTTTTCCTGATCTTTTCCCTCCTCCCAACATCCACCTTCCACTAGGCTCCAGTGTCTGTGATTCCCCTCTATGTATCCATGTGTTCTCATTATTTAGCTCCCATTTTATAAGTGAGAACATGTGATATTTGGTTTTCTGTTCCTGTGTTTGCTAAGGATAATGGCCTCCAGCTCCATCCATGTTCCTGCCAAGGACATGATGTTACTCTTTTTTTATGGCGGCACAGTATTCCATGACGTATATTTGGCACATTTTCTTTATCCAGTCTACTACTGATGAACATTTGGGTTGATTCCATGTCATTGCTATTGTAAATGGTGCTGCAGTGAACATATGCATGCATGTGACTTTATGTTAGAACAATTTAAATTTCTCTGGGTATGTGCCCAGTAATGGGATTGCTGGGTGGAATGGTAGTTCTGTTTTGAGGTCTTTGAGGAATCGCCACACCGATTTCCACAATGGTTAAACTATTTCCACTCCCATCAACAGTGTATAAGAGTTCCTTTTTCTCCACAACCTTGCCAGCATCTGTTATTTTTTCACTTTTTAGTAATAGCCATTCTGACTGGTGTGAGATGGTATCCCGTTGTGTTTTTGATTTGTATTCCTCTGATGATCAGTGATATTGAGCTTTTTTTTCATATGCTTTTGGCCAAATACATCTTTATTTTAGAAGAGTGTCTGTTCATGTCCTTTGCCTACTTTTTAATGTTTTTTTCTTACAAATTTGTTTAAGGTCCTTATAGTTGCTGGATATTAGACCTTTGTCAGATTCATATTTTGCAAAAATTTTCTCCCATTCTGTAGGTTGTCTGTTTACTCTGTTGATAATTCCTTTTGCTGTACAGAAGCTCTTTAGTTTAATTAGATCACATTTGTGCGCCCTCATCATGAAATCTTTGCCCATTCCTATGTCCAGAATGGTATTGTCTAGTTTGTCTTCCACACTTTTTATAAGATTGGGCTTTACATTTAAGTCTTTAATACATCTTGAGTTAATTTTTATATATGGTGTGAAGAAGGGGTCTAGATTCAATCTTCTGCCTATGGCTATCCAGTTATCCCAGTACCATTTATTGAATAGGGTGTCCTTTCCAGGGCAATGACTTTTTAGATATAATACTGAAAACATAATCCATGAATTTAAAAAAAATGAAAAGTTAAACCTTATTGGAATTTAAAAGTTCTGCTATATGAAAAAAAAAACTGTTAAAGAGATGAAAAGACAAATCACATACTAAAAATCTTTGAAAACCACATATCTCTTAAAGGACTGGTATTCAAAATATGCAAAGAACTCATAAAATTCAACAATATGAAACCAAGTAACGCAACTGAAAAAAATTTGCAAAACATCTGCCCAGACACCACTCCAGAGAAGATACACAGATGGCAAACACGCATTTGAAAATATCCTCAATATCATATGTCATCATGAATACAAATTAATACAATGAAATATGACTACATACATATTAGAATGGCTAAAATCTAAAAGACAGACAACGCCCAATGCTCGTGACGATGTGAAGCAATAAAGCTCATTCATCACTGGTGAGAATGCAGAATGGTAAACCACATTGGAAGACATTTTGAAAGTTTCTTACACTAAACGTGTTTTCCATACAATCCAGTCTCATGCTCATTGGTATTTGCCCAAATGAGTTGAGAACATGTCTACACACGAGGATGCATACAAATGTTTTTTGAAGCTTTATTCATAATTGCCAAAACCTGGAAGCAACTAAGGTCCTTCAGTTGGTAAATGGATAAACAAACTGTGGCACATCTAAACAATGTAATATTATTCAGTGTTAACAAGAAATGAGCTCTCAGGCTATGAAAAGACATGAAGGAAGTAAGTGTATATCACTAAGTGAAACAAGCCAGTCTTAAAGGCTGCTTACTGTAGGATTCCAACAATATAATACCCCTGCAAAAAAACTCCCACGAAACTATAGAGACATTAAATAGTTTAGTGGATGCCAGTGGTTTGAGGGGAGGGAGCGATCAATATATGGAGCATGGTGGGTTTTTAGGACTACATAACTATTCTTATATGACAGTCTAATGGTGGATACATTCCATTATACATTTGTCAAACCCATAGAATGTACAACACAAAGTGAACCCTAATAAAATGTATGGACTCATAAGAGTGCATCAGTATTTGCTCATCAATTGTGTTAAACATATCACAGTAATGCAAGATGTTAATAATAGGAGAATTTATGTGGGGGGAGAGGAGTTATATGGAAACTCTCTGTACTTTCTGCTCAGTTTTCTATACATTTAAAAATGTTCAAAAATAGAGTTCTTGAATTTTTGTTTAGAAAATTGACCCAAAATATTATTGATGGCACTCGGTAGACAAAAACATCTAAACAGATTTTGTACTCGTATTTTATATGTTCTGGAAGGTAGAGAAAGATTCATTGTGTTAAGTAGAAACATAGACTTTATAAAAATAATTAAACGTAACTGCTGTAGAAAAAAATGCAATGCATGGGATGAACAAATATACTACATGGAATTAATAGGAAATTTAACATTGGAAAATAAAAGATTAGTGAATTTGAAGACAAAATAGAAAGACTATCCAAAATTAAACAGAACAGAAAATGTTTAAAAAATGAATGAAACATCATTTAAGCTGTGGAACATCTTAACTGGCTACAATATATGTAAACTGAGTATGAAAAAATAAGGGAGAAAAAATTGAATAAATGCCCAATAATTGTTTACAAGTTTAATTAATACTACCAATACACAGATCCAAGATGGTCAATAAGCCCTAAGCAAAGAAACATGAAGAAAACAATACCAAGGTGTATATTAATGAAATTGCTTAAAACAAGTTTTAAAGAAAAAATCATGAAAGCAGCCAATGAAGAAAGGCACATTATATACAAGTGATAAAAAGCAATATGATGGTTTTTATTATGTTTCTGTTATCAACCAATGCAACCAGAATAGAATAAAATAACGCCTTTACTGAACAACAACAAAAAAGCTGTCAACTTAAAATTTTCTATTCATGAAATTATTTTTCAGTAATGAATTTGAAATAAAGACTGTCAAACACACAAAAGCTGAAATTTTATTAGGTTTGGACTGCAAAAAAAAAAAAAAAGATACAGGAATTCCTTTAGCATAAGGAAAATAATACCAGATAGAAATATGATTATCCACATAAAGGAAGAAAGACTCTAGGTATGATTAATATGTCAGTAAACATTTTTATAATGATTCTCATTCTTAAAATAAGTGTAAAATAATTGTTTTTAAACGCAATAACAATATATTTTAGTTTATAATAAATGTCATAATAGCATGTATGACTAAAATGGCACAATGATCAAGAGATGTGAAATGGGCATTGTGTAATTCTTTTACTATACATGAAAGTAAATCATGTATACCATCAAAAAATATAGCTAATAAACCAAGGAGATTAAATAAAATCATAAAAAAGGAATAAAGGCACCAAAAGACTACCGAAAAAATAACAAACAAATAGTAAAATAATAGACTTAAGCCAAACCATATTAAAAATAACATTAAATGTTAAAGGTCTAAATATTCCAGTTAAAAGGCAATGATCCTCAGACTGGATATTTTTTTATAAGCAAGTCCCAACCATATACTGTCTGTAAGAGATTTACTACAAATATAAAAACCAAATAACTTAATCAGAAAATGTATATATCAGAGAAAATACATTATTATTAGGGTAAAAGGAATTTTTCATGATTTAAAAATCATTTCATCAAGAGGCATAATAATCCTAAGTGTTTATGTACCTAATAATAGAAATTCAAACACATGAAGTGCACACTGATGGAACTGACAGCAGAAATAGACGAATTCTCAATTACAGTTTGTGTGACTACAAAACCTCTTTCTCATTAACTGATTAAAGAAGAAGGAAAAAAAAAATCAGTAAGTATATAGAAGACCTGAACAACACTACCAATCAACTAAATGGAATAAATATTTTTAGTACAGCCCACTCAACAACAGCAAAATATGCATTCTTTTAAAGCATATGAATAACTTTTGAAAGTAGGATATATTCTGGGCCATTAATAAAGTCTCAATAAATTTAAAATAATTCAGCCCTACAAGTATGCACTATGACTACAATAAAATTAAATTAGAAACAAATAGCAGAAAAATATCTTGAAACTACTTAAATGTTTGAAAACTAGCATACTAGTATATAACGTATAGGTTAAAGAAGAAAATCAAAATGGAAAGTAAAATATGTTTTGAACAGCTATAAATTGAAAATACAATATGTCAATATTTTGAGGATGAAGCTGAGGCGGTACTTGGAAATTTATATGACTACATACTTATGCTAGAAAAGAAGAAAGATCTCAAATCAATGGCTTAACTGTCCATCCTAAGAAACCACAAAAAGAAGAGCAAATTAAACACTATATAAATAGAATAAAAGGAAATAAGTTCAGAAAAATAAGTAGAAAACTAATACAAAAGTTAATGAAACAAACTATTATTTTTTGAGAAGATCAATAAAATTGATAAATGTCTAGTGAGATTCATAGGACAAAAAGAAGGCACAAATTACCAGTCTCAGGAGTAAGAAAAGTAATATCCTTATTCATTCCACAAATATTAGTAAGGAAATATTATGAATAGCTTTGTGTCCATAAATTCAACAACTTAGATGAAATGTACAAATTCCTTGAAAGACCCAAATTAGAAGAACTTTATGTCTGTGAAATAAATGAAATTTATAGTTTAAAACCTTCCCACAAGAATGACTCGGAACCAGGTGGCTTCATTGATTAATTCTATCAAGTATTAAATATTAGGCCAGGCTCGATGGCTCATGCCTGTAATCCCAGCACTTTGGGAGGCCGAAGCAGGCGGATTACCCGAGGTCAGGAGTTTGAGACCAGCCTGGCCAACATGGCGAAACTCTGTCTCTACTGAAAATACAAAAATCAGCCGGGAGTGGTGGCAGGCACTTGTAATCCCAGCTACTTGGGAGGCTGAGGCAGGAGAATTGCTTGAACTCAGGAGGCAGAGGTTGCAGTGAGCGGAGATTGCGCCACTGCACTCCAGCCTGGGTGACAGAGCAAGACTCCAGCTCAAAAAATAAAAGTAAAAAAAAAAAATTAAAGTAGAAAATAATAGTTATTCTGCATCAACTCTTTAAGAAACTGAAAAGGAATACTTCTCAACTCATTCTATGAGACGAGCATTACCATGATACAAAAACCGTATGAAGACAGTTGGGAAAAAAAAAACAAACTAACCTCCTTCATGACTTTCTTTAAATTTTAGCAAATTTAGCTACACACATAGACACACACACACACACACACACACACACACACAAATATAAAGGACAATACACTTTGACTAAGTTTAGTTTATTCTGAGAATTCATGATGGTTCAACATTAAAATTCAATTGCTATAATTCACCATATCAAAAGTTAACAAAAATATCACTTTAATAGATGCAAAAAATAATTCGACTAAATTCAACGTTTATTAATGGTAGCAGTTCTCGGAGGACATAGCTTCCTGACCCTTGTATCAAATTAGGCACCTCTGCTCTGTTTCCATAGCTTCCTATTATTTTCCATACCATAACATTTCTCACACTTTTATTGTTCAATTGCATTTTTCATTCTTCTGTTGTCTGGTAAAATTACTTATATATGACTGATACTCAGTTGATAAACTGTTAATGCAGGTTTGGTTCTTGGCTAACTGGGAGATTCATGATCATATTAACATCATGAGAATTTATAATAGCTAATTGTTCATGGGTAGTTTGATGGGCCAGGCAGAGTACTAAATGATTCCCATGCAAAAATTTATTGTTTTACAACTACCACATAAGGCAGGTCATATTATTAAAGTTCTAGTTTTGTTTTATTTTATTTATTTTATTTTATTTTTTGAGACAGAGTTTTGCTCTTGTCACCCAGGCTTGAGTGCAATGGCACTGTTTCGGCTCAGTGCAACCTCTGCCTCCCAGGTGCAAGTGATTCTCCTGCCTTAGCCTCCCAAATAGCTGAGATTGCAGGCGCCTGCCACCATTCTCAGCTAAATTTTTTTTGTATTTTTAGTAGAGACGGGGTTTCATCATATTGGCCAGGGTGGTCTCAAACTCCTGACCTCATGTGATCCACCCACCTTGGCCTCCCAAAGTGCTGGGATTACAGGCATGAGCCACTGCACCTGGCCTAAAGCTCTAGTTTTAAAGATGCGGAAATAAAGGCACAAAAAATGATTGGCAATGAACCCAAGGTCACAGAGCTGTTAAATAATAGAGCTGTGGCTTGATCCCAGATAATGGTTCCAGAGCTCCTACTTTCAACCCCATCCTTACTGCTTCTCAGGCAGAATAAAGTGCTGATATGGGAAAGGTTACAGAGGAGAGAGGATGTGCTTACCCCTTGCCTTAAGTTTAAACTTCTACATAAGTCAGTCACATAGCTGCTATGTATAAATAGAACATTAATTGGCTACTGTGTTTGCCCTCAATAAGACCAGAGAAAGTACACAAATGCAGTGATTAAGCTAGCACACGTGTTAACAGCTTCTTATCTGCTATAACTGGACTATGGGGGAGGCATTCAGAAGATGAATAAACCATAATCTCTTTCTTAAAAGGTCTCACAATCAGTACAAAACCTGAAAAATTAAAAAAAAATTCTACTCCTTTATTCTTCCTGTATTATTTCTTTTTTTTTTATTTTCTTTTTTTAAGAGTCAGGTTATCACTCTGTCACCCAGGCTGGAGTGCAGTAGCACAATCATAGCTCACTGCAGCCTCTAACTCCTGGGCTTAATCCATCCTCCTGCCTCAGCCTCCCGAGTAGCTGGAACTGCAGGGGCACGCCACCATGCCTAGCTATGACCTTATTTTTGTTTTGAATTTGTAAACATTAAAATGACAGTAAGAAAATAATAGTGTTCTAGTTGTCGTTTTTCCCAGTAAATAAAAACAAAGTTTGTTTTTCTTTTGGAATTTGTGATAATTGAAATTTTTCAACGTGAGAAGGATTTAAATTGGTGTAAATAAAGCACAGTCACTTACATGGAGATCTTGTGATAATCACGTTATATCCCTGACCTTTTTTGAAAACGATACATCTATTCAAAATCTCGCACATATGCTAAAATCTACATTCTAAGCTCAGCTGTATCACTTGTTTAGAGTCATAGGATTCCATTTGCCAATAATTTTGCATAATATCCTGTAGACTAGTTAAATATCAGGTGACTTTTTCTACTGTTGCCCTTTTAAAGACACTTGTATTTCAGAGAATATATTATAGACAACAGACCTAAGAAAATTACTTGGGGCACCAAAAATAAAAATATAGAAAATATTTCTTAATATTTTCTATATTTCTTAAGAATTGTGAACACCAAAACACATTGAATACTTCCTCACATTAAGAGAATAGGGTTATGGGAGTCAACACCCACACTGATAGGTTGTATTTCATTTCTGTCAAATGAAGCAGTTGGGATGATGGTGCTAATTTATTTGATCAGAGGCATGCCAATGTAATTAGATTAAAAGGTGCCCACATTGTCACTACATGACACAAAAATATCTATCTGTATGAATGCAGAATGACAAATGAAATATTTTTAATAGCACAAACAACAGGACAGGCAAAGTTGCCTGAGATGCCCAAAATAAAGACATTTTTCTGGGGCTAAAAGGCCAGAGACAGTATTTTTTGTTTTTAGAGTTTTGAATCATAATCAGAATGAAGTGACTTCCTAGACACCACAAGGATCTTGATATGAAGGAAAGTAGCTGTAGAGTTGCTGCTGGACACTGATTTCAGAGTTGGCAGAAGATCTTGCAAGAAAAGTATATGACTTCTATTTGTAGGGGAGGGTCTAGCCAGCAGGCATCTAACTTTATTTTATGGCAGGGAAGTTTAGCAATCTAGAGCACTTAGCTAGTGGTTTCAGGGAAAGAAGAAGAATAGATTTAGGAAGAACAAAGGATATGAAATCATATTAACATTCTGGCATAATAAATACAGTTGGCACTTCAAGGCTTTGATTTTAAACATGGAGAGGTAATTTAGTGTTAGGAAAAAATATTCATCATGTAAACATGACTATAAAGTGGAATTTATTTGACTGCACATATCTAAAGTAAAAGGCATGCTAAAATTCACTTATGCCTATTGTACAGGTTCACATTTTTTAAAGGAGGTCTTTGTTTTATTACATGCACATTTTACATTTCTGTGCCTATGTGTATATATTACATATATGATTACATAGTTAAAATCTAGCACATTCCAGTTTCCAATCTAGCATGTAGAGAGCCTGGAAGGCATCACTCCCATCCTCATAACAAGAAAAAAGCTAAACTGAAAACCAACAGCCCTCTTTAAATCCATTAAAGAATTTAGGTCACAAGGCAAACCACCACCCCCGAATCTAGAAAGACAGGTGAACACAGAAATCACAGCTCTCTGGAAACGGAAGCCACTCGTAGACCTTAGTGAGAACATATACAGGGTAATTGACTAATTCCCGGAGACTGAGCATGGACTCGCTTGAGAGATTAAAAATTCCTGGGGACCCAGCTTTAGGGAGGCCCCATACTTTGATGACAGTTACCTCCGGAAACCTAGTCAGGTTGTCAGATGAAGATGATGAAGATAGAAAAATCCTCTCTCTCTTTCAGCAGTTGACAGGATTGGCAAGTCCAAAATCTATAGGGTGAGTATATGAAACTCTGTACTTTCCATTCAGTTTTTCCATGAACCTAAAACTGCTCTAAAAACCAAAGTCTATTAAATAAACAAAATAAAATGCAATAATACTGAATAGAACGTCAGGTTTGGCCTATTCATAGCCTTCTCTCCTGTACACTCTGATGGTGAATATCCTTATCGTCCTTGTTTCCAGAGGCAAGAAAAGTCATCAAGACAAGATTTAAAGCTACAGGAATCACCAAAGTGCAGGAAGTGAAAGGCAGCCTTACTTCCTTCTTGAGACTGGCAAGTCAAAGTGGCAGCCCTCTGTCGCTTACGCTCTCCATCTCAAATCAACAATAATCACTCCACTGAAAAATTATTTTAATACTAGGACTGTATTAGTCCATTTTCATGCCACTGATAAAGACATACCTAAGACTGGGTAATTTATAAAGAAAAAAAGGTTCAATGGACTCACAGTTCCATGTGGCTGGGGAGGCCTCACAATCATGGCGGAAGGTGAAAGGCATGTCTTACATGGTGGCAGACAAGAGAGAATGAGAGCCAAGCAAAAGGGGAAACCCCTTATCAAACCATCGGATCTCATGAGACTTATTCACTATCACAAGAACAGTAGGGGGGAACCACCCCCATGATTCAATTATCTGCCACCAGGTCCCTCCCACCACATGTGAGAATTATGGGAGCTACAGTTGAAGATGAGATTTGGGTAGGAACACAGCCAAACCATATCAAGGACTAAATGCTTACTGACAATTTGTTTTACACTGGCACTGTGATAATTGTTTCATATGCATTATTATGCTTGTTTCCTTTTAAAAATGTTATAGAATATAATGGACGCATAGAAAAGTTCACAAATCCTATGTGTACACAGTTAGATAAGCCTTCACAAAATCAACATAATTCTGTCATCATCGCCAGATCAAGAAATAGAACATTACCAGCATCCAAATTCCCCTCTCTTTGTCATTCTTGTCCCTAGTCCTCCAACTACTTATCATTACATACAACTTCTAGGAAGGTAGATTAGACTTTTGGGACTTTGTTATGTTTTTTGAATCTCATATACATGGAATTTTATGTACTCTTTCATGTCTGGCTTTTTAAATCAATATTATGTTCATAAATTTCATCCATGCTTTATGTGTGCATTTTATTCATTCTTATTACTGTAGAGCATTCCACAGTATAAATATATGATAATACGCAATTTGTTCTACTGTTGAAGGAAATTATAGCTATTTCTAGTTTAGGATTATTGCAATTAGTGTTATGAACATACTTTGTCCTTTGGGGAATACACATATCATTTTGTGAATATATGTATACATTTTTTGATATATACCTGGGACTAGAATCTGGAGTTATAGAGTATGCATAGATTCAGCTTTAGTGAACACTTCTGTGCTGCCTCCAAAGTACTTTCATCAGTTTGCACTCCCACTGGAAGTAAATGAGATGTCCTCATGGTATATCCTCTCAAAATTAGGTATTATCTGTCCTTTCATTTCACAGTATTAGTTAAGCAGTATGCTATTTTATTTGACAAATGAAGTTGAGTAGCATTTTTAGATGCATCTTATACATTTGGATATCCTCTTTTGCCCACTTTCCTATTCAGTTGCCTTTTTTTTCCTATGGAAATGTAGCGGGGGGAAAAGATGTGGAGTGCCTTTATTTCAATTTAACAGACAGGGAAAATTGAGGTTCTAAGAGGCTAAGGGAAGCTCTAAGGGTTCTAAGAGGCTAATCTCTAAGGGTTCTAGGAGGCTAAGGGAAGCCCACACCACCCAAGCAAGGAAACAGCTGAGAAAGTGATATTCCACAAAATAACTCAATGCCTGTCTTCAGGCTGGGCAGAGGGATCAGCTGCCAGAGAAACCTTATGTGCTGAGCGTCCCTCATGGGACCAGGAGCTGGTAGATAGGAACCTCTATTGAGAAAAACCAAAACCAAAACCAAAACCAAAAAAACAAACAAGCAAACAAACAAAAAACACCACAAAGCCACAAAAACACACTCCCAACATTATTAGTCATCTTTCTGTTTTGTTTTTGTTTTGTTTTGTTCTTTGCAGCCCAGGCACCTCACAACGAAATAAATCAATAGCAGATGGCCCTTGGCTTGGAAGCTTTTCAATACAAAAGCCGCCATCTATCTCTCTGATTTTCTCAGGTACATTTTTCTTAAATTCCTGGCAGAGTTTAATTAAGTGTTTATGAGAATGTTCACCCTCCTCCTGCTGCACAGACAGCTCGGTAGGGATGGAGTTAAGCTCCTTTTCTGTTCAACAGTCTGGAGACCACTGTCCCAACGACGTCACTCTGGTTTGGCTCTGCAGACCTCCTGCTGTCAGGTTCACTGTGGCCCTCCATGACCTTCCAACTTCTATGTTTCCAGGCAGCCTAAGGATACATCTCCTCCCCACTCAGACAGCCAGATATCACATGTTTTACTAATAAAACAGCTGATAGGCCCCAGGAGTTCTGTACATAGCCTGGAAACCAGTCTTTGTTGAATACAGCTATTAAAATGTATGTCCTTCATCTTGCTCTACGGTTTGCCTATTCACACGTATAATCATATCTTTTGATGGACAGAGGTATTTAATTTGAATATAGTTAAGTTTACTTATTTTCTTTTTCATTATGGTTATGTGCTTTTGTATTGTAACTTAAGAATACTGCCTACCACACGGCCTTGAAGGAGTTCTATGTTTTTGTATAAAAGTTTTAATATTTAATCTGTATGCTTAACTCTGTATTCCATTTGGAACTGATTTTGTGTATGGTTCAGGATAGAGATCAAGACTCATTCTTTTGTATATGGATAATCAATGGCCTCAGCAATAATTATTGAAAAGAACATTCCCTACTTTACTGAAGGACTACCTGTACATAAATGACCTAGCTTTATATGTATGGATTTCTTTCTAGATCTTTTTTTTTTTTTTTTTGAGACGTAGTCTCGCTCTGTCCCCCAGGCTGGAGTGCAGTGGCGCGATCTCAGCTTACTGCAAGCTCCGCCTCCCGGGTTCACGCCATTCTCCTGCCCTCAGCCTCCGGAGTAGCTGGGACCACAGGCACCCGTCACCACGCCCGGCTAATTTTTTATATTTTTAGTAGGTATGGGGTTTCACCATGTTAGCCAGGATGGTCTCGATCTCCTGACCTCACGATCCACCCACCTCGGCTTCCCAAAGTGCTGGGATTACAGGCGTGAGCCACCATGCTTGGCCTCTTTCTAGACTTTCTATCCTGTTCCATGAACCTCGTTGTCTACTCTTACAACAATATTATAATGAGCAATCATACTTTATTAAAGGTCTTTATGTCTAATATTATGTCCTACAGTCTTTACTAATTCTTTACTATTGCCTTGACCATTCTTCTTGGTCTTTTGTTTTTGCATGTACATTTTGACATCAGTAGGTCAGTTACCATAAAAACTATGCTGTGATATTGACTGTGATTGCATTGAATCTGCAGATAAATTTGAGAAAAAAATCATATATGCAAAATATTTATCTTGAAATCCAATATATTTCCCTTTTTTAATTTAAGTGTTCATTAATTTTTTTCAAGACTTTTTTTACTTTTTTCTCATGTGTGTTTGATCTGACATATTATTTGTGTCTGCCAGGGTGAAATCAGGAGACAGGAACCACACAATAATTTGAACAGAAAAAGTTTATGTACATATATGTATATATCTGTGTGTATATATGTACACACACATACACACACACATATATGCACATATATTTATATATATATACACACATATATCTAGGAATATATATATAAATTATTAACTATAATAGAATTATTAACCATAATAGGGGATTGCAATAATGGGCTAATAATAATTACTAAATGGTGACCAGACTTCCAAAAAGAATATAGAAAGATCACATATGGGGAGAATACAGTAGGCCTAGGACGACTGAGAGGCAAAGCACTCAAAGAAAGAACAGATCTGAGAAAGTCACTCCTCACAAAAGGGCTGAGATGCGGACCTCATTTGAGGGTGTGCCCTTGTCTCACTGGATGTTGGAAAGGTCCACTAAGGGGCTACATCAATGGGACTCATTGCAACACCGCCCGCTGAGTGTAAGGGAGACCATCCTCTAGGAGGTGCTGTGCTGAAGGAAGATAACCTAGCCAATGCCTCACTGGTGGGGCTCAATGGAAAAAATTCTCTTTGTGCCAGGAGGAGCATCCCCTGGTTGGGGGTGAGGAGGTTCAGTGTCTCAGCACTGACTGCATAGCTACCTGAAAGGGGATTTGGAATAAGCCATCTGCAGGGAGAGGCTGCACCTCTCTCCATCAAACCCTGTTGGGAACCACTATCAGGTGGTGGGAAAAGTTGCATGGGGTGAGGACTATATGCTGTTGGCCAACACATGTCTGCCCAAATAACCACACTAGATTCAGAAAGGATCAAACAAACAAACAAAGCACACAAAAAAACAGCCTTTTTATCCTTCAGGATCCATTCAGAGCCCTCTAATGGACAAAGCTTAATATCATGCCCACTGAAAACGGGAAAATGTTCTAGTATAACAAGCTGAGCGATGGCAGGTGGATCGTGCTAAGTTCTCCTATTAATGCCACTAGTTTTTTTCTGTAGGTGATTTAGGATTCTGTATCTTAAACAACAATGTTGTCAGCAAATAGTTGTATTTATTCTTTTCCAGTTGTTATACCTTTTATTTATTTTTTTCTTGCCTTATTTAATTGGCTAGAATTTCTAGTATAACATTGAATGTTGAAATAAAACCATGACTGTGAACTTTTTTGGTCTTATTTCTGATTGCAGAGATAAAGCTTTGTATAATTGAACATTATCTCTGAGATTTGCTTTATGAACTTAAGGACATCACCAGTTCCTGGTGCGCTAAGACTTTTAGTCATAAATGGGTGTTGAATATTATTAAGTTATCTTTTTGCATCTATTGAGATGATCATAAACTGTTTCTGTTAAATGGGTTCATTGATTTAATTGCAAAAGTAATTTCAACTTATATTCTAAAAAACAAAACAACTTGGTCACGGTGTATAACCAATTTTACATATAACTGAAATTACTTGTTAATTTTTATTTAGTATTTTGATTCTTCATGAGAGCAAATGCTCCTTCATTTTCCTTTCTTGTAATGCATTTGTCTGATTTTTATTATCAATATGTTATGTTGTCTTTGTAAATGATTTAAAAATATTCCCTTAAATTCTATGTCGGCAGCCATGAAGGAATACCACTTGAGTTTTCTTTTTAGCGAATCCACTGTGTGGCGCATAGTTGAATGATAACCTTTGGCTTTCACAGCATTAAAACTATCATGCATTTGTGCCAAAAAAAAAACATTATCCCCCATCTACTTCCAGCAAGTGATTGATTACAGGAAGGGTACTATAGCTAGGCCATTCCTATATGAGGTGGGGCTTCTCTAATTTTGCTTAGAGAATCCCCATCCACCTGGCCAAGACTTTCTCAGAATTTCTCTGCAGTCCTGAAGTTCTTTTTGCCTAATTCTCCTTCCTTCCTGCTCTCCTTTCGCAGGGATAAGACCAGTATCCCAGTCTGAAGCCTCTCCCAGCCTATTTCTGTTCCCTCCCCCTCTATCCTTAACAAACATGTTTTTCAAATAAAGTTCTTATAAATCGAATACTGCCTCACCATTTGCTTTTTATGGGACACAAACCAACACATCTATTCTCTGGAAGAATTGGGGTAAGTCTGGACTTACCTTATTGACAAATGAAGTCAGTTATTCTTGGGATTCTCATTATGGAAATGTTTTTGCATAATAGATTCCACTTCTCTAATAGGTTTTGTAGTGTTCAGATTTTCAATTTCTTCCTCTTTCTAGTATGGAAAGTTGTATTTCCTGAGACAATTTTTAACATTTATAAAAAGTTTCAAATTAATTGACATGAAGTTGTTTATAACTTTATGTGTTTAATACCTGATAAAGTGATGTCCAGTTTTTCATTCTTGATTGTTTGCTCCTTTTTCCAGCCAGCAATAATCTGCACATTCCCCTTCCCCATTGGTAGTTGTTGTGAGAGTGCTATAAAATTTTTTTCTTTATATTTTTCAACAACTAACTTTTGATTTTGTTAATTTTCTCTATTATACATTTATTTTCTATTTCATTAATTTCTCCATATATTTCCCTTCTTCTACTTTCATTGTTGTGAATTTGCTGTTCTTTTATCCAGCTTTATTTATACAGTAGAAACTTAGATCATTCATTTTTCAGACTTTCACTTTCTAACAATATTAGATTATGAATCCCCTTCTGAGTATTAATGTATTTTTTCTTATTCAATTAAAAATGTTTTTGAATTTCCCTTCTATTTTTCCCCTTAATTTATGAGTTATTTAGAAGTATATTGCTTAATTTACTGGAGATTAAGAATATCCTAATATTTACTTATCCATTCTTCTTTCTTTTGTTAATAATTTCCGACTCAGTTCCACTAGACCTAGAAAACATAATCTGGAATTTTGTGGGTTTTGTTGTTTTGCTTTTGTTTTTGTTTTGTTTTGACATGGATTCTCACTCTGTCTCCCAGGCTGGAGTGCAGTGGCACGATCTTGGCTCACTGCAATCTCCGCCTCCCAAGTTCAAGCGATTGTCTTGCCTCAGCCTTCCAAGTAGCAGGGATTACGGGCATGCACCACCACGCTCGGCCAATTTTTGTATTCTTAGTAGAGTTGGGGTTTTACCATGTTGGTCAGGCTGGTGTCGAACTCCTGACCTCGTGATCCACCCACCTTGACCTCCCAAAGTGCTGGGATTACAGGTGTTAGTCACCACGCCCAGCCGGAATTTTGTGTTTTTAATATTTGTTAAAGTTTGTTTTATGACCCAGCATATCATCCATTTTAGTAAATACCCCATATGTTGAAAATAGGTAAATTCTCTATTGTTAGGTGCAATGTTCCATAAACAGACAATATTTCATAATTCTATTAATCTTTTATAATTAGGTAAACTCTTTAGATTCTATTTGTTAGATCTTCTCTGTTCCTTCTTATAGTTTTCTCTTTGTTCTGTTAGCTATTGAAGGAGATATATTGAAATCTCCATAATCTGAAGATTTGTTTGATTGTGAATTCATCTGTTTCTCCACATTAAACTTTTGTTTAATATGTTTTGAAAGAATGTTTTTGTGAATGTTGATTTTGAAATGTTAAATATATTCCTTTATATATTTTTCTTTACATCTCATAGTTTTTTTTTTTTTTTTTTTTTGGCCTGAACATCTACTATGTTTATAGTATTACTGCAAATTCATGTCAGCTTTGTTTTGGTTAGCTTTGCATGACATATCTATTTCTATCCTTTTACTTCCAATATTTCTGTGTTTTGTATGCAAGTTTTATTTATTGCAAGAAACAAATAATTTGGTTTTTCTTTTCAATCTAGTCTAAAAATATTGATCTTTTTCTTGAATAATTTAGTTCATTTAATGTAATGACAGCATAGTTGAGTTTTATGTACCATCTTACTATATTTTTAAAAAACTTTGAACCAGTAGACATGTGTTTCAATTTCTTTCCTTGCTGTTTGGCGACTAATGAAACTTTTAAAATTATTTTATTTTCCTTATGTTTATTATATATTTTTGGACCATTCTGTTAGTGCTGTTTTGAGATTACAACATATGTTCTTAATATATTATATTATAAATTTTTTTCACTTTCCTATGAATATTAGAAACTTTGAAAACTTTAACTCCATTTAATTCTTCCAGTTTCTTGCGTTGTTCTTGTCAGGAAATTTTTACATAATTTTAAATTTCATATTAATTAACCATATTATTTTTTATAGTCAAAATTCACTTATATTTTACTTGGATTTTTGTCCTATTACTGTTCCTTTTCTATATTTTAGCCCAATTAACTACTATTAGTATTTCTTCAAGTGCAAGCATGCCAGTGATGACATCTCTGAGTTTTTACTTGCCTTAAAACATCTTTATTTTACCTTTATTTTTGGAGACTATTTTTCTTTTGTGTAGACGTTTGAAAATTAATTTTCAGTTATTTTATTACACTATGTAAAAGATATATATCCACTGTCTTCTGGATTCCCATAATTTTTCTTGGAAAGTCAGGAATTCTTCTATTTAAGGTAACTTTTTTATCCCTCCAGCTATTTTTTTTAATTTTATTATTATTATACTTTAAGTTTTAGGGTACATGTGCACAACGTGCACATTTGTTACATATGTACACATGTGCCATGTTGGTGTGCTGCACCCATTAACTCGTCATTTAGCATTAGTTATATCTCCTAATGCTATCCCTCCCCCCTCCCCCCACCCCACAACAGTCCCCGGTGTGTGATGTTTCCCTTCCTGTGTCCATGTGTTCTCATTGTTCAATTCCCTTTGCTCTCATCAGTTTTACTAAAATGTGCCTAAGGGTGGTTCTCCATTCTTCATTCACAGTTCACTATGTGCTTAGTTTGAATATCTCCAACAACCTGTTTTTCTGTTTCCCAGTTTTGTGTTCTGGTGTGTGTGCTATGCAGTTCAATCTGTCCATTACTTCCTTAATTTCTGATTTTGTACTTTTGAGGTCTAGGATTTCCATTTGATTTTTAAAAAATATTTAGATTCTCTTGGGCAAGTCTAATCATTTGTTCTATTTTTCTCTTTTCCTCTATTGTCTTAAACATATCAATAATAGTTATTTTAAAATTCTTATTACTTCAATATCTGTATCACCTATTAGCTTTTTCCCATTCTATGTTTTCTCCCCTTGGTATTAAGCCCTATGATATTCTTTCTTAATGTCATAGATTAAAGATATCACAGATGCTTTCCTGTTTGTCCCACTGATCAAGGAAGTCTGATTCCTTTGTCCCTGAATTCAGACTGGCCCTAGTTATTTGCTTGACCAACAGAAGGTGGTGAAAGTGATATTCTGGACTTTCAAGATTAGGTCATAGGAAATATTTCAGTTTCCTCAATCTCTTCTAACACTTGTAAACTAGCGATATTTTGTGAGGAATCCCAAGCAGCCCCTGGAGAAGCCTATGTGTAGAGAAACAAAGACTCCCATCAAACTACTACCATTGAGTTCACAAGCAACAGCCAGCACTATTTGGTGTACATATGAGAGTCACCTTTGATGCACACCCTCCAGCCTAAGTTGATCTGCCCAAGCTGAAGCTGTGTGGTTACATTGCTCATGCTGCAGATAATAGAAACAATACATGATTCTTGAATGATTTTAAACCACTGAGGTCTGGTGTAGTTTGCTAAATACCAATAAATAACCGGAACATTTGGAATTCCTTATAGCTATTAAATATTGCACATTATGTAAGAGAAAATACAGAGGCTCATGGTAATATTATATTTCACCAGAAAGGAGTCAATCTTTACCAGAGAATAGGGAAGAGGACTAGGTACATTTTTTAAGTGAAGGAATGGGCTGTGTTGAGATTAGATTGCAGTTTTATAAAGCTGTTTCCTCTAGCTCAAACCTGTTTGTAAGGCACAGCCCTCTACAGTTCTTAAGCTCCCATTCAACATAAATTTAGGCTTCTGAAAATGAGAAAGAAACTGTCTGTGTGTTGGTATTTTCAAGTGTCAGCCAAAAGTTTACCTGGTTTTACTAACTTATCAATGGCCGTGTTCCTTGGCCGAGCCTAGATTCCCAGTTGGTAGTCCACATCAAGAATCACAAAGTGCTTCCCAGAGAAAATCAGCTGTATACCCTTAGCTTGCTTTTCAGAGGTTGATATGGTTCGGCTCTAAGTCCCCACCCAAATCTCATGTGGCATTGTAATCCCCAGTGTTAAGGAAGAGGCCTGGTGAGAGGCGATTGGATTATGGGGGTAAATTTCTCATGAATGAGAACCACACCCCCTTGGTACTGTATAATGAGTGAGTTCTCACAAGATCTGGTTGCTCAAAATGTATAGCACCTATGCACCCCCCACCTGTTGCCTGCTTTCTCTTTGCCTTCAGCAATGGTTATAGGTTTCCTGAGGCCTCCGCAGAGGCAGAAGCCACTATGCTTCCTGTACAGTCTACAGAACTGTGAGCTAACTAAACCTCTTTTCTTTATAAATTACCCAGTCTCACGTATTCCTTTATAGCAATGCAAGAATGAACTAATACAGAGGTACTCTCCACTCCATAGCTTTGCCCCCTTGCTGTGGTCAAAATGCCTGGGTCTTCCCTAAATTCATATGTTGAAATCCTCACCTGCGATGTGATGGTGCTAGGAAGTGGGGCCTTTGGGAGGTGATTAGCTCATGGGGATAGAGCCCTCATAAATAGAATTAGTGCCCATAAAGAAGAGGCCCCAGAGAGACACCCTGCCCCATCCAACACATGAGAACACAGCTAGGAGGCACTGTCTATGAACCAGGAAGCGAGCCCTCACCAGACACTGAATCTGCTGTGATCTTGTACTTCCTAGCCCCCAGAACAGTCAGAAATAAAATTCTATTGCTCATAAGCTACCCAGTTTTTAGTACTTTGTTATAGCAGCCAGAACAGAATAAGACCATCCCTCTAGTCCTCATTACTTACACAGATTTCTGATGACTTTACATAGAGAATTATTGTCTTTCATCTGGCTTTTCAAGTAGTTCTTAAGGGGATTGTTGTTTTACAAAATTCTACAGCGTAGCCAGGAGTAGACATTCTGTTAACCGATTTTAATCCTTATAGTAATTAGAGAGAAAGATACTGTCATTTTTCACAATGATGGCTGAGAAAATATCCTCTGAAAAATTAAACAACTCACCAACGGATGCACAATAACTTGATCAAGGTTCTACAGAAAGTGGGCAAGTCTCAATTCTAACTCATATCTGTCTTCAGAATCTGTGTTTTTAAGCAATAAGTTATATTTTTCTAGTATTTTATTCAGAATATAAAATTCTAGGTAGGCATAGAGTATTTTTTAATAACCAAAGGAAGCTTCTGGGGGGTCTTGGCACTAAGAAATAAAAGAAAGTAAAATATATATGGTAAAAATCCCTCCTAGGTCTCTCATGATACTTGGTGTTCATGACCCTGGTGTTTGTGTCCCTGTTGTTCATGACAATGGTGTTCAGGACCCTGGCGTTCGTAACGCTGGTGTTCATGTCCCTGGTGTTCGTGACGCTGGTGTTCGTAACGTTGGTGTTCATGTCGCTGGTGTTCATGACGCTGGTGTTCATGTCCCTGGTGTTCGTGACGCTGGTGTTCATGTCGCTGGTGTTCATGTCGCTGGTGTTCATGACGCTGGTGTTCATGTCCCTGGTGTTCATGACGCTGGTGTTCATGTCGCTGGTGTTCATGTCGCTGGTGTTCATGACGCTGGTGTTCATGACCCTGGTGTTTGTGTCCCTGTTGTTCATGACAATGGTGTTCAGGACCCTGGCGTTTGTAACGCTGGTGTTCGTAACGCTGGTGTTCATGTCCCTGGTGTTCATGACGCTGGTGTTCATGTCGCTGGTGTTCGTGACGCTGGTGTTCGTAACGTTGGTGTTCATGTCGCTGGTGTTCATGACGCTGGTGTTCATGTCCCTGGTGTTCATGACGCTGGTGTTCATGTCGCTGGTGTTCATGACGCTGGTGTTCATGTCCCTGGTGTTCATGTCGCTGGTCTTCATGACGCTGGTGTTCATGTCCCTGGTGTTCATGTCGCTGGTGTTCATGTCCCTGGTGTTCATGACCCTGGTGTTCATGTGCCTCGTGTTCATGACCTTGGTGTTCATGTTCCTGGTGTTCATGTCCCTGGTGTTCATGACGCTGGTGTTCATGTCCCTGGTGTTCATGACGCTGGTGTTCATGTCGCTGGTGTTCATGACGCTGGTGTTCATGTCCCTGGTGTTCATGTCGCTGGTGTTCATGTCCCTGGTGTTCATGTCGCTGGTGTTCATGTCCCTGGTGTTCATGTCGCTGGTCTTCATGACGCTGGTGTTCATGTCCCTGGTGTTCATGTCGCTGGTGTTCATGTCCCTGGTGTTCATGACCCTGGTGTTCATGTGCCTGGTGTTCATGACCTTGGTGTTCATGTTCCTGGTGTTCATGTCCCTGGTGTTCATGTCGCTGGTCTTCATGACGCTGGTGTTCATGTCGCTGGTGTTCATGTCCCTGGTGTTCATGACCTTGGTGTTCATGTTCCTGGTGTTCATGTCCCTGGTGTTCATGACCCTGGTTTTCATGTTCTTGGTGTTCACGTCCCTGGTGTTCATGACCTTGGTGTTCATATCTAGTGTTACACTGGCGCTTTCTCACTGTTTCTTTCTGTAAACAAAAGGATCTTGTTGTGATTTCTACATTTTTGTCAGAATTTCACAGATTAATGTGATTTTCTATGCCTTTTTAAAATCCCAAATACAAATGGGCTTTTTAATGTAATATACTTGGAATTAAGATGAGGTTTATCAAAATGAGTGCAGGTGTAAGGCATTTGAAATAGCTTTACTTAGATCAACCCACAGCCAGCTATTCTGTCTTTTTATGAGAAAAATACATTCTGTATTATAACCTCTCACTGTTAGTATTCGGCAGTCACATAATTTAAGAGGTATGTATATCTCTTATATTTGCAATGAAACCCATTGACGTTGTTTTGTGAATACAAGGACACTAACGGCACATATTAAGGACTATAATATTTGACTATTTTCTGAAGTCAAAGCTAAAACATAGCATATAAATTTAATACAAATATGCTATTACAAAGCTCATATACATCATCATCTTTTTGATTTTAAAATGAGAAGTTACTGTGTGTAGTGTAAAAATATATAAAACAATACTTTGGAAATATATATATAAAATTACACACACACACACACATTAATGGTTAGTCTGAAAAGTTGGTAGCTTTCTTTTTCCTAATGCAGGACTTCTAAGACTAGTTCCTCTTTACCTAGACACTTTACATTTATCTTCACAGATATTTGAAATTCTTTTGACAAGCATTTATTTTTTTTCATTTTACTGTTTCTGGCAAAATGGACCTTTAAAGGACTGTGTCACCTATTACATGTATTTGCAACATATTCCAAGTATATTCATGGTGTAAGTTGTAAATGGCAGATATCGAGTGAGGAACAGGATAGCATTCCAGGTATTCAGAAACTTACCTGTGCACCATGATGCATTTGTTATCTCAGACATTTGTCTTCCTTCTGTGTTTGAGGTTGTAGGGGAAACAGAAGAGAATGCAGGTTATTCCACCCATTGCCCTAGTTATAAGAGACTGAATAACCCTTGTTGCAAAAAGCCAATATCCAATATATTTAAGTATCCTTTTATCTAGCTGAGAGGTCAATTACAAAGCAATATATTCTCTCAGAAGAATTTAATTGAGAAATAGAATTGGATTAATCAAGGAGAAAAATTATCCAGGAGAAAAATCAAGTGAGATTACCAAGACAAATTACTGAATAATGATGCTAAACAAGGAAATGGTCATATGGGCATGGGTCAGAAATGTACATGTATCTCGTTTGAAGCTCTGCCAGCAAGAAATCAATAACTAAGTGGCAGATTAGGTTCTTTAGGGCAAGAATCTAAGGGCAGAACCAAGGATTTACCTAAAAGAAAGAGTTTGCTAAAAGTGACACATAGATTTATTAATTAAAAAAGGAATCTAACAGAAAATTTTCTCTCCCTTAAAAGTTATTTTAAAATTCCACTTTTTAGTATTGGCAACTACAGCTTTACCTATCCAGACTGCTAGAATTTAGATAATGTAATATTCTTGTCCTAGTCCATTAGGGATGTTATTGAAAAATACTATAGACTGGGTGGCTCATGAACTATAGAGACTGATTTCTCAACATTCTGGAGGCTGGCAGTCTGAGATTAGGGTTCAGCACCATCAGGATCTAGTGATGGCCCTCTTTTGAGTTGTAGACTGCCAACCTTTCATTGTATCTTCACATGGTGGAAGGGGTGAGGGGTCTCTCATGAACCCCCCACCTTTTTTTTTTTTTTGAGACGGAGTCTCACCCTGTCGCCCAGGCTGGAGTTCAGGAGTGCAGTGGCACAATCTCAGCTCACTGCAAGCTCTGTCTCCTGGGATGAACCCCTTTAATAAGGGTACTAATCCCATGATGAGGACCGCCCTTATTACCTAATCACCTCCCAAAGGCCCCATCTCCTAATATCACTTTGGAGGATTAGAATTATAGTATATGAATTTTGCGGGACATAAACATTCAGATTTCTTGGCATTTTGTGAGTCTCTATGATTGGATTCAGATTCTCCATTAGTCTTTACGGTGGTAGTTCTCCAGTGATGGTATCAGTTTCCATATCTCTGGTTTATCTTCAACCACCCTGTTAGGTCTGGTTTTATGTCACTCTTTTTGTTATAGGTAGAAGCTTTAGAAAAGATTCTAATAATTTGTACAAGCAGAAGTCCAGTTGTACTCTAATCTAAATATCTTAACTTTGCTTAATATAGCCAAAATCCAACTTAGCTTATAATGATGTCTCTCTTCCTTCTCTACATCCTAACAGAAATTTCTAACATGTATATAGTTCTAATGCAAAAGCTGATTTTAGTTAAATATTTCCATATCTTAGCACTGCTCTAATATTAAATGCTCTTTTAAGATACAGCCCTTAATTATCATTTTATTCTCTTCCAGACTTATGCCCAGTGCTTTGACAATAGCAGACCCACAATAGGTTCTCTAAATGAATAAACAACTCCATTATAGTTGCTCAGCACACCAGACATACCAGAACCTTCTCTCTTATTGTCAGAATTTTTATATACTGCCTTTGTGATGACTATGGAAAAGGCAAAAACAATGCCAAATTTGTTTAAGTAGCAAAAACTTAATAAGCCCTTCATGTATGTTCGGTACTGCACTTGGGCTTAGGAAACCAAAATTAAATAGGAGAAAATTGAAATTAGGATAAGGTGTAATGAAGTAATTTTAAAAGATGACCATACTATTTCAGGCCAAAGTTAGAATCCAAAATGTTCCAAATACTTAATTTCTTTTTCCCAAGCTTTCTATAGATAACCTCATCCAAAATGTATTAACAGATATTTTTTTCATAGTACCATCACTGGGGAAGGAATTGAGTGTGTCTTATTACCCCAGTTAGGAGGAGCCGTCCATGACGGAGAGGCTTTTGCTGTGCCTGTGCTGATAAAAACATGTGGATATTGGAGCAGGAACAAAAACTGAAAAAGAAATGGGTGATACAGTCTTCAGCTTCCAGAAATTGAGCAAGTTTGCCCTTCTTTGTGTGTTTCAAAACTTTGATTACAAAACAGTGTCTATTTTTTGTTTTCTATGTTATTCTTTGGTATTTACTCCAGCCATTTTTTAATTGGATAAAAGCCATTTTCTCGCAGAGAAATGCTTAGTTAAGTAGCTTGAATAACATTCAAGTTCATGGTTGCTGACTCTGCTGCAATTTAAATAACTCTAGTGGTGTTACATTCCTTGTTTTCTAATGCTATTGTGATCTGTTGGAGATTCATATTTCATATCTGACTAAAAGTCAGATAGCCATGTGTTTTATTAAGATTGTTACAATATATGTTTTAACATTTAATTTGAATTGAAGAATAAATATGACAAACGATAAGGTTCCTAGGAACAAAATGAAATATTTGGCTAGCTCTATAAGCTTACATCATTTGCAAAGATAGATATTTGGGGAATATTTACTGTTTGGAGAGTTCTTTTATGAGACATTTAAAGGAAAGCACTAAAATTTGAGAGGCGTGCATGACGATGTGAGTCTAAAACTGAGTATGGACCTAAAAGAATGGTGTTAGGAAGGTTAGAAACCATACTAAGCCCTGGGGAGAGGCCAGAGAAAGGATTATTTAGAAGAAGAAGGTCCTCAAATGTTTAAATATCACCTCTGCCAAATCCCAAACTGGAGCTAAAACTCCATATCAGCGTCGATCCCTTCCTTTCCTTTACCTACAGATTACTTAATCATCATTGTTTTCAAGGTTTAGAACGGGTTTTTTTCCCTCTTTTAAAAAATCGTGCTGTACTGTCACCTAGCAGACATCTATCAGCAATGCAGCATCTGGTGTATTATAGTAATGAGAAATTCTCATTACTGACCCCGCCAGACTCACGGCTTCTCAACCAGGCCCCCTTATTGCTTCCAAATGCATTTCTCTAAAACTCAAATCCAGTATATGCTTTGCTCTGTTTAAAAATACTGACAGCTTTTTCTCTTCCTTTTTATCTTCTCCTTCACCTTCCCATTTGCCCACTGTTTCTGTATTAGTCTGTTTTTACATTGCTGATGAAGATATACCCAAGACTGGGTAATTTATAAAGAAAGAGAGGTTTTATGGACTCACAGTTCAGCACAGCTGGGGAGGCCTCACAACCATGGCGGAAGGTGAAAGGCACGTCTTACATGGCGACAAGAGTGAATGAGAACGAAGCGAAAAGGGGAACCCCTTATCAAACCATCAGATCTCATGAGATGTATTCACTACCACGATAACAGTATGGGGAAAACTGACCCCATGATTCAATTATCTCCCACCAGGTCCCTCCCACAACATTTGGGGATTATGGGAGCTATAATTCAGGATGATATTTATGTGGGGACACAGCCAAACCATGTCAGTTCCCTTCTTGAAAATTAACTCCAAACCCATTGGGTGGAACCAGGCAAGGTGCGGATCCCTTGAGGGAGGAGAGTGCTATGAAGAGTGAATGTGAGAGGGCCCCAGGGCCCCACAGGGGTGTTGAAGGCTTGCAGGTGAGGACAGTGCTGACTCTGTAGGGCAGCTGGCTGTAGATGATAGAGCACAGCAGGACAAGGCAGGTGACCACACAAGGAGTGAAAAGGAGGTGGGCCAGGGTGAGGTGTGGGAGCCCAAGCTGAGTGAGAAGGCTATCTGTGCAGGGCTGGTGTGTGAGGCAGTCCTACACAAGGGTTGGAACAAGGTGAGAAAGGCCACCCTGTGGAAGGCTGTGCACCACAGCATTCAAACCCAAGAGGGAGATGGAGGCTTCTTTCCCTAGTGATATCTGAGCCCAGGCAGGGTGAGGAGGACTTTCATATTCAGTAGGAATGAGGGTGGACCATGCAGGGTGTGGGAGCCAGAGGAGGGCAGAGGAGGATGCTGGTGGGGTTGGTGGAGGCAAGCTTGATGGTGGCAAAAAGAAATTGATACCTATAGACAGATTGAGTGTGTAAGTAAGGGAATGAGAATCATGTTTATTAATGTCAGAGGAGAAAACTGCAAATAGACACAGGGTAGAAAAATAAGCCCTGTGTTACTGAATTGGAGTTAGAGAGGTTGGTATGAACTCAATATATATGTGTAGATAAAGAACAGATGGAAATGTGTGTTAGTATGTGTGTGTGCATATGTGTACGTATGTATGTATGTACACAGATATAGTCACACATATGCTCCCTATCTCTGTCCACTGAAAAGACCTGGGGAAAGAGACACCCCAGCAGCAATGAGAAGACCTAGTACTCAGGTCTTGGTTAATAAATAACATTGTCCTCTAAGAGGAACCAGGTTGATTCCAAGGATGGGGCAGGGAAATTGTAAGATGGTCTCAATATATCTCGTTTCTAAGACGGAGGAGGTGTGTGCTCAAAAAATGGTAGTAAGGCATAAAAGGGCACAGGGACCCATGTGAAGGGGCTCCCGCTGGTCAACTATAGGACAATTTGGGTATCTAAATGAATGCTAATAATGCATTATAACTCACTGAATAAGACTGCATAAAATAGGACTCCAGAAATGAGTTAAAATTCAACAAGGAATAGGAAATACACATCTACAAATATGCCTCCCTACGAAATAATTACTGATTGCATAGAAGTCAAAAAGCAACTTTACAGTGACAAAGCCTAGCAGATCCCACCTTAATGAAGGGATCGACATTAACATCAAGAGTTTAGGGACAAATCAAAACCTCGTGAACTGCTGGATAAGACGGAATGAGAAGAACCCACATATTAGGTGGGTGCAAATGTAATTACAGTTTTGCCATCATTTTTTTTTTTTTTTTGAGATGGAGTCTTGCTCTGTTGCCAGGCTGGAATGCAGTGGCATGATCTCAGCTCACTGCAACCTCCACCTCCAGGGTTCAAGTGATTCTCCTGCCTCAGCCTCCCGAGTAACTGGGACTACAGGTACGCACCACCACACCCAGCTAATTTTTCTATTTTTAATAGAGACAGGGTTTCACCATGTTGGCCAGGATAGTCTCAATCTCTTGACATTGTGATCCACCTGCCTTGGCCTCCCAAAGTGCTGGGATTATAGGCGTGAGCCGCTGCACCTGTCCTGCAATCACTTTTAATGTCAAAAACCACAATTACTTCTGCACCAACCTAATATTAATAACTTCAGTAAAATTCTTATCAAAGATGCATCACTGAACCATAATCATGAAGAGATGCCAGGAAGAACCAACTGAGGAGCATTCTATATGGTAACGGCCCTGTGCCCTTCAGAAGTGTTCAAGTCAAGGTAAAGAAGGAGAGTCTAGGGAAACAGACTTAAGGAGTTGGAAAGGAAGTGGTAACTCAGTGCAGCAGGTGATGCTGGACATGGTCCTTTTGCTCTAAAGGGCACTGGCAAAATTTAAATGGGGTTCGAGGATTGGTTGGTAGTAATGTATGAATCTTAATTTCCTAGTTTTTTTGGTGGCATTTGCAGGGGAATATCCTTGTTTGTAGAAAATGCAACTAAAGTGTCCAGAAGTTTTCCCAAAAAGATGGTTTCAGTGAGTCTAAATAAAGCATGTGTGTTAGACGCACATGCTGGCCCAGTTTACTTTTTTAAACTTACTTTAAACATTCACATCCTACTCTCCAGCCCATATTGCATATCTTATACTGTCACTTTGGCTTTGATCATGCAGTTTTACCTAATTTTCTTCAACTTTTTCACTTGGGAAACTTTTTGCTCATTAAAAATCCAACTTGATGGTGACTACTGTATAAAAACGGGACTCCACTGGTTATCTCACATTGTTCTTTTCTTATTACATACACTACATTCCCTTTCACAAAGTGGAAGTTAACCCTGAGATTGCAGTGTAATAATTAGTGTATGTTTGTTTTCTCCTTTAGAATGTAAGTTTTCTTTTTTATTATTGATGTACCATTAAATTTCCAGTGCATAGTACCTATAATATCAGATATGTAGTATATACTAAAACATGTTTTGAACAAAAGAATGTTCTGTGTCAACCTGAAGTGTTTTGTTTGCCACTGCTATCAGCTCCTCAATCTGCAACAGTAACATTTGGATTAGGTGAGTGTGCAGATATGCTGCTGAACAAAATTTTAGATATCAGTAAATGTTTTAACATAGGTGATATTTTAAAATATATTTTAATATCTTATGCTTGAAGATCATAAGGGAATCCACTCTCTTATCCCTTTACTTGCTGCCAACAGCTGTCATCTCCTAGCATATCCCTCAAGTTTCCTTCACAACCACAAATAAATCGAGAGATCTCAGCATCCTCCTCAACAGTCACCCTGGGATTGTAGAGGCCAGTGACTCTCAAACTTGCATATATATCAGAATCACTTGAAAGGCTTATTAAAACACCTGGGCTCCAATCCTAGAACTTGTGATTTAGTAGATATGGGGCAGGGCCCCCAAATTTGTATCTCTAACAAGTTCACAGTTGATCCAATGCCACTGTCCTGGCAATCACCCTTTGAGGATCACTGATCTACATGTATTATCTTGAGGTCAGCTAACTCTGACCATGACTCACATTATTAATCCTCTCAGTCAGTGTGAAAAAGGGAAGACTTCACCAAGGTCAATCCTTCTTTCCCAGGCAGTCATTTCTACTGGGGAAGCAGAGGTCATAAACAACATACAAAGCCTCCACTTTGTTATCCCCAGATGGTTTCATCACACCTTGCTTTAATCTCGTAACTGACGTCCCAGCTCTTCCACCTCACTGGATGTGGGTTACGTTCCCTGACCTGAAGCCCAGCACTCCTCTCCCTGTCCACTTCTCCAGACCCTGCTCTAGTGGAAGCTGACTTTTCTTCCATGGACTCAGAATCTTAATATCCAGTGAGACTGTGGCATCCCAGGAATTACTCTCTAGTATTTTTACACAAATCTTGACTTCTTTAAGGCTCAAGGCCTCTCTAACTCTCCAGCTTGATCATCTACATACTGCCTCACTGAAAATGTTGAATTGCGGTATTTATTTTCACTAGGGTGTAGCTATCACAGAGGGAGACTTCAACACCTAGGCTTTTTGCTTGCTTCTCACTTTCATCGACAATTTCTACTCCCATTCAGTGATTCTGGAGAAGCTCTCCCCTACTTTATTTCAGATACTCTCTCCTAAAGCAAAGCACTGTGTCTCATCATCTCTGAAATCATGAAATCATGCATATAATTCTTTGATAACAATCTTTCAATATGCTTCATTGCCACTTAGTATAAAACTCATTGATGCCTCTACCATCTTCCCATAGAGAGGAATTAAAGGACTTCTTTGATTTTATAGACCTTCCCCCTTCCCCTTGTTCTTGTCTTACTTTTTCTTCCCTCCATGTATTAAATGCTAAATTCTCACACTTTTCTTAAGCTCACAGCTTTTTATTTTTCAGCATAAATTGACAAAGTATCTCATATATTTACGGGATAGAAAGCGATGTTACAATATATGTATACAATGTGAAATGATTAAGTCAAGCTAACTAACATTCTGCCATCTCATATACTTACCATTTTAGAAGATACAATATGCAATTATTAACTATAATCACCACACTGGACAGTACAACTCAAAAAAGTTATTTCTCCTTTCTAACTAAATCTTTGCACCCTTTGACAATATGTCTTCATACCCCTGACTCCCCACACTCTGGTAACCTTCATTCTACTCTCTGCTTCTATGGTTTTCATTGTTTTAGGTTACACATAAAAGTGGGAGTATGCGGTATTTATCTTTCGGTTCCTGGCATGTTTCACTTAACATAATGTCCTCCAGGTTTATCTACATTATCATAAATCACAGAATTTCCTTTTTTAAGCCTGAAGAGTATTCCATTTTTAGTATACCAAATGCTCTTTATCCATTCATCTTTGGATGAACACTTAGGTTAATTCCATATCTTGGCTATTGTGAATAGTGCTGCAATGCTGTAATGAACGTGGGAATGCAGAGATCTCTTTGATATATTGGTTTCAAATCCCTTGGATATATACCCACAGGTGGGATTGCTGTATCATATGGTAGTTATATTTTTAGTTTCTTAAGGAATCTCCTTACAGTCAGTTTTCCACAATAGCTGTACTAATTTACATCCCCACCAAGATTGTACCAGGGTTCCCCTTTCTCCACATCCTCACTAATTTATCTTTCATCTTTTTTTTTTTTCTGAGACAGAATTTTGCTCTTGTTGCTCAGGCTGGAGTCCAACCGTGTGATCTTGGCTCACCACAACCTTTGCTTCCTGGGTTCAAACAATTCTCCTGCCTCAGCCTCCCAAGTAGCTGGGATTACAGGCACGTACCGCCATACCCGGCTAATTTTGTATTTTTAGTAGAGACGGGTTTCTCCAAGTTGGTCAGGCTGGTCTCGAGCTCCTGACCTCAGATGATCCACCTGCCTCAACCTCACAAAGTGCTGGGATTACAGGCATGAGCCACCATGCCCAGCCTCTTTCATCTTTTTGATCATAGCCATTCTGACATGTATAGTGGTTTTCATTTGCATTTCCCTGGTGGTTACAGATATTGAGCAATTTTTTTATATTCTGTTGGACATTCATATGTCTTCTTTGGAGAAATGTCTATTCAAGTCCTTTGTCCATGTATTAATTGGGTTATTTGAGTTTTTTATATATTTTAGACCTTTGCCACATCTCAGATATGTGGTAGCAAATATTTTCTTACAATCTGTGGGTTGTCACTTGACTCTGTTAATTGTTTCCTTTACTATGCAGAAGGATTTTACCTTTATGTAATACAGTTTGTCTATTTTTGCTTTTTGTTGCCTCCAGTTTTAGAGTAAACACCCTCCCTGCAAAAAAATTGCCTTGCCAAATGTCATGTAGTTTTCCCCCTGTGTTTTCTTCTAGTTGCTTTTGAGTTTTAGATCTTACATTTAAGTCTTTGATTCATTTTGAGTTGAATTTCATAACTGTATGAGAAAAGGGTTCAATTTTATTCTTCTGTAGGTGAATACCAGTTTTTCTGGCACCCTTAATTGAAGACCCTGGCTTTTTCCCATTGTATCTTCTTGCCACCTTTGTCAAAAATCAATTGGCCATATATTGGTGGATTTATTTCTAGACTCTCTATTGAGTTCCATTGGTCATTGTGTCTGTTTTTATGCCAGCAACATACTGTTTTAATTACTATATTTTTGAAATATATGTAGTATGATGCCTATAGCTTTGTGCTTTTTGTTAAAGATACCCTTGGCTACTCAGCTGTTTTAGTGATTCTATTTGAATTTTAGAATTGTTTTTGCTATTTCTATGAAAAATGACACAATGCAGTTTTGATAGGGATTGTATTGAATCTGTAAATTGCTTTGAATAGTATGGAAAATTATAACAATATTCTTCCAATCCATGAATATGACATATCCTTTCATTTATTTATGTTTTCTTTAATTTCTTGAACAAAAGTATAATATATCACATTAACAAAAATGTGATATACGATATTAACAGCATGAAAGACAAAACTGAATCTCATTAGATGCAGAAGAAGCATTTGGCAAAAATCCAACATCCTTTTATGAAAAAAAACTCATGAAATCAGGTGTAGAAGGAATGTACTGCAATGCAATAAAGGCCATAAATAACAAGCTTACAACTAACATTATATGCAATGCTGAAAAGCTGGAAGCTTTTCCTCTAAGATGATAAATAAGACAAGGATATCCACTCTTACCCCTTCTATTCAACATGGTACTAAAAAACCCTTGTCAGAGCAATTAGGCAAGTGAGAACAATAAAAGAAGTCAAAATAGAAAGGCAAGAAGTGTGCCGGGCACAGTGGCTCATGCCTGTAATCCCAGCTCTTTGGGAGGCCGAGGCAGATGGTTCACTTGAGCTCAGAAGTTCAAGGCCAGCTTGAACAACATGGTAAAAACCCATCTGTACAAAAAAACACAAAAATTTGCTGGGCGTGGTGGCAGGCGCCTATACTCTCAGCTACTTGGAGGGCTGAGGTAGGAGGATTGCTGGAGCCTGGATTGCATCACTGCACTACAGCCTGGGTGAGCTGGGTGACAAGAGAAACACTCTGTCTCACACACACACACACACACACACACACACACACACACACACACAAAAGTGAAATTGATCTTGGACTTCCTAGCCTTCAGAACTGTGAGATATAAATGTCAGTGGTTTAAATCTCCCAGTACGTGAATTTTTTTTTAGCAACTTCAGCTGATGAATGCAGTCCTATTCTTACACTGTGGCCTTTATCTGGTCTCTACAGAAAGGCCCACGGTGCCCTGTGATGTCTTTCCTCTCCACATGGCTGCACCAGAACTGCAGTGGCACTCAGCATCAGGTGGCCTCTAGTGTCTCCAGTTAGCTCCCAGGCCTGCTACAGTCCATCATCCCTGGCCTCACAGAAGCTCATCATGTGCATGTCTTTGGGCACCAATGGGAAATCTACACTGAGAACACTGTCACCCCTCTTTTGTGGAGCACCCTCTCTCAAGGGTCCTGCCTCACACATCCTAACTTTGCTGACAGCGGAAACTCTGCACCCACATAAATGTCTCCTCAGCTCAGGGAAGGTGCTATGACCTTGATAGGCTCTGCCATCCTCTGCTGCAGTCAGGACAGCACCCCAGCCACAAAGCCAAGCCAGATGGGAGATGCACCTCACACAGTTTCCTTCTCCCTAGAATCACTGTCCTGCTCCACAGGAAAATTGTGACTTCGTATATTTTGTCCAGGCTGAGAGAAACCCAGTATCAGTTACTCAGTCAAGTCTGGCTACAGAAATGTGTCATTGGATTCTAACCCTCCTTTGGCTCCAATCCTTCTGGTGTCCATTTTTGCAAATTTATCCTTTTTTGTAATTTTATTAGTTTGATAGAAGAGAGATTCTGTACTCTGGTTTGTCTCTGCCATAGTCCACTAGATGACTCTAATTATTATTTTAATAAGAAACGTTGATTGTATTTTATCAAGAGTATTATTTTCCATGCGTTCATAGAAAATGGCATCAAAGGTGTATACAATTTCATTTCCAATTTATTTTGGTCAAAATCTATAGATATTGCTCGCCTTGATTTTTTAAAAATTTAATTATGTATAAACGTTTGAGAAACCTGCCTAATTTTGTTTTCTTACAGAGTACCTATTTTTGATGCCTGGCTGTTTATAGGATTTTTTCTTTACCACATAACATTTGTTTTTAAAGAATCTAGACATATACGTCTTTATTAATTTTTTGGCAGATGATTAATCTTAACAACCTTCATATACCAATCTCCCTTTTACTTAGATAATGCTGAATCTATTAAATCTTTGACTATTGCTTTTTCTCAGATGTTTTTCTTTATATAGTTTAAACCCATGGCATATTTTTATATGTTATTGGTTCTTCAAGTTTTGTCCTTTAGGAGTTCTCTTGAGTGTTTTCTGTGCATTCTGATTCCGTGTTTAATGAATAAGTCTTGTTTGTGACTGTCTTCCACATAGATCTTCATTCTACTATTGACCTTTTGATTTCCTCAGGTATACTTTCATCTCCATCTTCATTTCAACCGGATGACTTTTCATGTCTATATTTTACCTATTGTCAGCTGCATAGTTCTAAGCAGATAGGGACCTTGCTGTATAAGAGAAAGTGAAAATTTAAAGGCAATATAAATATAATAAATATAACAAAGTTAACAAAAATATACAGGTTATTATGCAGCAGACATACAATACGGGGTAACTTGAAATAGAGAATGTCTCCCATTACAAGAAGTAGAGCTGGCATTTAAACAAATGGAAGAAAAGTTCCAGCTGAAGTTGTTCAGCGTACACTCGTTTTTGTTGCCTTGACAATTGGAGCTCCTAACACTTTAAGCATTGCAATAGCCAAGCCATGATTATGATCAGGCAAATAGAAAAGGAAAATGTAAATAAAGTAGACAGTAATAAGTGACTGAACAATATGTTGTCTCGAGCTCCTTTGGGATTTTTATTTTTGTATGTGTCAACTTGGCTGAGCTACAGTCTCCAGTTATTTAATCAAACACTAATCTAGGTGTTGCTGCTGGTATAATTAAAACCCCTAATCAATTGACTTTAAGTAAGTGAGATTATCCTGTATACTCTAGGTGGGCTTCATTCAATCAGTTATATACCTTAAAAGCAAGGCTCAAGTTTTTCCAAGAAGAAAATATTCTGCCTGTGTACAGTAGCTCATACACATGGCCATGAGTTTCAGTCTGCACAGGTATTCCCTTCTCCAGATGGCATTCTCTGTGGATTTCAGATGCTCACAATTGTTCTGTAAGCAAATTTCTTGCTATAATATCTGTGTGTGTGTGTCTCTGTCTCTCTCTTTTATATATGTGTGTGCATATATATGTGTGTGTATATATATATACTATGTATAAATTTTATATGTACATTTATTTTGTATATATAAAAATCAAGGTTATGCACCTGTCAGAATATATATACATACACACACACACACACGTATGTACTAATTTGTATCATATATTTCTGTGTATGTATATACATATATATGTGTGTTTGGGTGTGTGTGTACATAAAATGCTGCTTCTCTGGCTGAGCCTGTACTGATGTCTCTATCTTAAAAAAAGATCTTGGGAGGAGGTATTTGGTTAGATTTTTGGAAGAAGGAATGGTTGTTCTGCAGATAGTTGAGATTATGAGGGAAAAATTAGGATTCATAATGAAAGAACTAAATTATAAATTATACCTGCACACTCAATATCTTCTTGAGGACAGTATTTATTATTTCACCCCCTGACTTTGATGAAGCCCATGTAACTAATATAGCAATTGCTGGATCTATACATCGGCCTAGCTGGTGTTACATGAAAAAATGTTTTACAGGGAATAGGGCACTTAATGTTACAACACATTACTGCTTATTTTAAATGATGACACATCACATAATGCAATAGCTTTCTTTTGACTACAGGAAACACTTCCATTTTTGTTGTTATAAATAATATGGGAAATGGTAGTCACTTGTACAGTGACTTCCCATGAGCCTTCTGTGCAATTTTTTGATGCATTAATGCTAGATTCGCTAACCTAAAACTTAATTCATGAGGCATGGTGGAATGAGCTCTAACTCTTATATTAATTGTCAAAATATGAGTTTGTATCATTAATTTTCAAAAGTTATTTAGAAATCCCCAGGGGTTCCAAGAAGCCCACACTGTAGCCATATTTTGTGAGCAATGAGTAGGGATCAAGCAGATCACTTCTATTGATGTAACTTGGAGGTTTGGGGTTAGACTTGAGTTTGAAGTCCAACTCTGCTGTTTATTACCAGGATGAACCATTTAGAAAACTATGTCACGGTATCATTATCTGCAAAAATGCACAAAATATTTTTATTTTTACCAAGGCTGGAGCGCAGTGGTGTGATCTCCGCTCACTGCAGCCTTGACCTCCTGGGCTCAAGTGATCCTCCTACCCCAGCCTCCTGAGTAGCTGGGACTACAGGCATGACCCACTATGCCTGGGTAATTCTTTTTTTTTTAAGAGAAGGGGTTTATCCATGTTCCCCAGGTGGGTCTCACAAACTCTTGGGTTTAGCTAACCACCCGCCTTGGAATCCCAAAGTGCTGGAATTATAGGCATGAGCCACCACACACCACACCTGGCCACGAAATATTTTTCTAGATTCATGTGCTATATAGATTAAACACAACAGTACAGGCAAAGCTTTAAAATAAGTGAAATATATTCCCTTTGTTTTCTATAGGACTTCTATAAGCTTTTATTTGTAATGGAAAAGCTGTCTTTCTGATTCTAAAGTGACATTCATCTATGTAGATTTTTTCTTTTTTTCCATACAGACTTTCGCTCTTGTTGCAGATCTCAGCTCATTGAAACCTCCGCCTCCTGGGTTCAAGTGATTCTCCTGTCTCAGCCTCCCAAGTAGCTGCGATTATGGTATAAGCCACCATGCCTGGCTAATTTTTGTATTTTTAGTAGAGACAGGGTTTCACCATATTGGCCAGGTTGGTCTCAAACTCCTGACCTCATGGGATCCACCCACCTCGGCCTCCCAAAGTGCTGGGATTACAGGCATGAGCCACTGCAACCGGCCCTATGTAGATCTCTATCATGTGGCAAATCTGTCCATTTTTCCTGTGTTTTGTGTTTTCCTGATATTCCTTCAGTGGGTATTAGGATCACATACATAATATTTCAAAGTTACAGTGGTGCATCCAAGATAGCTTTAGGCTCTTCCAAACTCTTGAGAGAAGAGTAAAAGGAAGAGAGCAAGGGAGGAAACAGAGAGGTAAATTAGTGACACAATAACAATAAATATTTTCTCCATAAAGCAGAGAGAGCCCCACTTCTCTGTTGTTATCAGGGCCGTGATGAATAATCTTTGGCCATATTATAGAAGATAAATAGAGGTCTCATTTCCTCTTGAGAACTAACTACATAGGTTGACATCAGAGGGATTTGCTGGATCTGCATGAGAGAGAATTTCCAAGCCTGTTTATTTTTAAGCTGTTTATGCAAAGCGAAGGTGATGTGTTCATCAGGATAGTGAGGCATGCTGCGTTAAGGCAAGGCACAAAGTTGCCGCAGCTCACAGTAGCAAAATTTGCTTTCTTGCTCTTGCTCTTCTTTCCCATGCATAGGTTCTAGGGCAAGGAGATTCTACGTGGTGGCTCCCAGTCATTCTCTTTATGAACAAATACAGGCACAGTCTCCAAAGTAGGAGAGAAAGATGGAGACTTACTCACCATCTCCCGTATTTCATAGTGAATATGGCTCACAGAACACTTAACCTCAAGGGACCAGGGAAGGGCAATCTTGTATGTCCACAAGGCACTGAATACTGTGGGCAATTGTAACACAATGGTAAATATTTGTGTATCTAAACACAGAAAACGGGTTAGTAAAAATATAGTATAAAAGATAAAAAATGGTACACCTGTACAAGGCACTCACCATGAATGGAGCTTGCAGGACTGGACGTTGCCGTGGGTGAGTCAGTGAGTGAGTAGTGAGAGAATCGGAAGGCCTAAGATGTTACCATATACTGCTGTAGACTTTATAAACACTGTATGCTTAGGTCACACTACATTCATTTAAAAAACTTTTTTAAAATAATAAATTCACCATAGCTTAATGTAGCTTTTTAAATATATATATTTCAATATATTTAGGGGTACAAGTGGTTTTTAGTGACCTGAATGAATTGTATAAAACTTTTACTGTATCCATAACCTGAATTGTGTACATTGTACCCAATAGGCAATTTTTCATCCCTTACTTCCCTCCTCCTTTCCCCTCCTCTGAGTCTCTGAAGTCCATTATATTACTCTGTATGCCCCTGTGTACACATGGCTTAGTTTCCTCTTATAAATGAGAACATATCATATTTGGTTTTCTATTCCCGAGTTACATCTCTTAGGATAATGGCCTCCAGTTTCATCCAAGTTGCAGCAAAAGATATTATTTCATTCTTGTTTATGGCTGAGTAGTATTCCATGGTATAAACACACCACATTTTCTTTGTCTGCACGTTGGCTGATGGGTACTTAGGTTGATTCCATATATTTGTGATTGTGAATTGTGCTTCAATAAATATATGCAATATTTATGCAATTACTTCTTTTCCTTAGGCAGATACCCAGTAGTAGGATTGCTGGATCAAGTAGATCTGCTTTTAGTTCTTTGAGAACTTTCTATACTGTTTTCCATAGTGTGATACACTACAACATTGTAACAGGTATGATATCACCACGCAATAGGAATTTTCCAGTTCCATTGTAATCTTACAAGGCCATCATTGTACATGCAGTCCATATATCATCGACTGACTGACTGTATTTAACACTTTATTTTATCTCCGTGTGATAAAATATCACTATTCCATATTTCAATTGAAGGAATGCTTTTTTTCATCATGCAATAACTTCTGAACACTATGACTTACTTTTGGTTGGAGGGCTTGTGAATGAAATCTTTACATTTCATTAATTCCAGTTGAATTATTCTAAGCATAATTCTTACCATTTTTGTTTCATGCTTGTGTATTATTCAGTTTCAAATCAAAACAGCAGATAGTACCTATGGAATGGAACACAGAGAGAGAGAGAGAGAGTGCACTGGATATTTGTTCTGGTGATAAAACAGAAAATTCTCCGTAATGTTCATTTGATCACCACTCATTGACATGACAGTTCAGTCATTAAACATCAAAAATCAACAAAGTATATTCTAACTGTAGGATATTTTATTGTTTGGACAGTGATAAAAATAATTTTGGCCAGTGGCCCATGCCTGTAATCCCAGCACTTTGGAAGGCCGAGGTGGGTGGATCACGAGGTCAGGAGATTGAGACCATCCTGGCTAACACAGTGAAACCCTGTCTCTACTAAAAATGTAAAAATTAGCTGGGCGTGGTGGTGGGTGCCTGTAGTCCCAGCTACTCAGGAGGCTGAGGCAGGAGAATGGTGTGAACCCGGGAGGCGGAGCTTGCAGTGAGCCGAGATCGCGCCACTGCACTCCAGCCTGAGTGACAGAGCGAGACTCCGTCTCAGAAACAACAACAACAACAGCAAAAAGCAACAACAAAAAACAAAACAAAACAAAAAAACTCACACTTTATGAATAATTTTACAAAAATTTGTAGGGGTCAACTCAGTTGACAGGAATCCAATGTAGGTAAGTGTTTCTGACATGTAGGTTGTGTTTTTTTAAATTGTTTACAATAGCATTATGCAGAAAGCAGAAGAAAGTAAATCATAGTCTTCTTTGCATTAATATATACATTTGAAGTCATAACAAGATTATCTCCCCCTGCCTGTTTAACTTTCTAGTCTATATGCTTATAGACTTTAAAAGAAAATTTAAATCTGATTAATTGAAGTATACATTTGTCTACAGAGAGTATAGCATCAGTGCCTGCATGGACTGGGATATAGTCTGGATATTTGTCCTTGCTCAAATATCGTGTTGAATTATAATCCCCAATGCTGGAGATGGAGCCTGGTGAGAGTTATTTGGATCATGGGGGCGGATCCCTCATGGTCTGGTGCTTCCTTCATGATAGTGAGTGAGTTCTTGCCAGATCTGGTCATTTAAAAGTGTGTGGCACCAACCACCCCACTCCCACTCTCTCTTACCTGCTCCTCCTTCACCTTCTACCATGATTGGTAGGTTCCAGAGGCCTCCCTAGAAGCTAAGAAGATGCCAGCACCATGCTTCCTGTAAAGCCTGCAGAACTATGAGCAAATAAACCTCTTTCATTTATAATTAACCTCATCAGTAAAGGTATTTTCTAGTCAAATAAAGGTACTTCTTGTTTATACCTTTATATGATGATGGCCTCAAAGATGATAATGGAACTGGAAAATTCCTATTGCCTGGTGATGTTGTACCCATTGGAATGTTGTAGTGTATCACATTATTCATGTGTTTGTGGTGATGCTGGTGGGAACACAGTGAATACACCGCCAGTTATATAAAAGCAAAGCACACACAATTATGTGTAGTACATAATATTTGAGAATGATAACAAGTATTTAGTATTTTATAGTTAAATAAAGGTATTTCTTTACAGCAGTGCAAGAATGGAGTAATAGAGACCAAGTGTGGTCTTCTTTCCCACAGAATCAAATATAAACACTGGTTCTAGTGTCAATTTTCTTAATCACCAACTAACACTGTGTGATGAGGGAAGCTCAGAGAATAGTAGAGCACTTAAATCCACCTCAGGTGAGAGAATTGAAACTAAGAGATGATGCCCTGATTTACCCACTGAGTTCATGGGTCTAGAAGGCTAACTGTATCCTTTTGAAAATACTGATGCTAGAAGTGATTCCTAATTGCAAGCTCAGGAAAGCCATAATGCCTGGTTGCCAATAGTCTTTATTATTCATTCCATTAATGAAATCTGTATTTCTAGAATGTCAGACAGAAGAGTTGAACCCTATTTATATTTGCCAAATAAATTTTAATACATTAAAATAATTATATAGACTAGCATATTGTTTTTATGCTAATCTCTTCTTTCTTCATATTCACAAGTTACATTCATTCTCAAGCATATGAAAATCTGAATCATTGGTGCGTTTATTTCAAAACGAAACTTTCTTATGCACTCAGGGTATGTGTACAAATCATATCAGATCTCACATTTTGTTTTGAAACCAACTCTATCTTTATGCTCTGCCAGCATTAGCAGTGAGTGGTTGCATAGTCTTTCAATGATGTGAAAGCAGCGTGGTGAGATTGAAGGAGCAGTGGTGACAAGATCAATTAGAAAGGCACCATTGCATCTTTGTTCTAGACACAATATATCTTCCAAGGTAATCCCATACTGCAAAGGCATCACAAAGTCTTTGTCCGCTTATTCAGAGAGGTAACATGGCTCAGTGGTTTGAAATAACAGGCTTGAAGATCAAGGACTGTGAGTTCGAATGTTATATTTAAAAAGAAAAGCAAAAAATGTTGCTTGGGCTTTTTATACCTTTAAAATGCTTCTTTAATATCAGGTCCCATTTATTCTTTCCTTTTCTGTTATTGCTCAGGTGGCATTTGTCATCAGGTCATGGATACAAAAGTAAAAGTCAGGGCTGTCCCAATGACTAAAAGACACCATACGAGCATACAGAGATGGAATTTGCAGAAGCATTGGCATCCTCCTTGTTTGATTAGCACCTGGAAGATTTTCAAAATAGTTGAAAAGTAAGTATTGGTTTAGTAGAAGGAACTGGATGCAATTAAGAAAGAAGGATCAGAAATCTGTGGTAAAAACAGTGGGCTATTGCAAAATTAAAACTGTGGGGCTGTTTAATGCTAATTTAAATTGGGGGGCTCTGCCCCAAAGGAGATGTATATTTTCTTCTCTATTTCTCTAACATTTTTAGAATAAGTTATTTAAATATCAAATGCCTTTTTCAGATTATGTGCAAATTTTACAGTGTTTTACTAATATCTGTAATCATACATTATTTTTTCTTCTTCATGCTTGATGTGTTATTTCAACACTCTAAATTTCATCAAATTAATAGTGAAGAAACTACTCAGTAATGGCATAAGTTGAAATAGAGCCAATAGATGCTCAGGAAAAATTAGGTTTCATGGTTTCTGATGGATCAGATTTGTAATACTACTCTATTTATAAAACCAGGCCAAAGCACTTTCTTCCTCCAACAATTCCTATAGAGAGTAGGTATCCTGCTGATATCCTACAGATAGTTGGAATTGTTTACAAAATCATAACATGTATCGTGCAAGATATGAGAGGGGTCAATGATAGGAGGAGGAAGGCTTTGCGTCTCCAGCCCCCTGGCACATACACCATCCTTCACACCATGGTTCTGAGGGCCCAGCTCTAGTCTGAGCTCAGGGAAGAGAAGAGTTGAGTTTTGAACTGATAATTACATAGAAGTTTTAAAACTGGATGGGACTGAAACTGGTTATACCTTAATGAAATGATTACACTTGCCTGTCTGTTTCCCCACCAGACTGTTCATTCTTTATTGTTGGGCACCATATTGTTTGCTGTAAATCCACAAGGTCTTTCAAGACTTTTCAGCCTATAAAAGTGGCGGAGGAGGGGGGAAAATGAGAGATTGTACCCCCTTCCTCTAGAGAGTGTTTGGAAACAAGTTGGAGGCTTTTAGTTTTCTTTTTGGTTGTCACAATGACTGGGGGATGCTCAAGGCATTTGGTTGGTGAGGAACAATTACTCTAAATGGCCTGCAAGGTAGTGCCTCACAGTGAAGAAACAAATGGATGAATGAGTGAATGAATTTTTCCATTGTTTCTATAATAAATGTAGTCAACATTTTTCCAGTGATAGAAAATATGGTTTCCAGAACAAATAAAAAGATATTTTAAAGTCTTCAAAACTCAAATATTTAATATAAAAATAAAGCCTCTGGTAGAATTTAGCTGTGAATGGGAGAAAATTTTTGCAATCTATCCATCTGACAAAGGGCTAATATCCAGAATCTACAAAAAACTTAAACAAATTTACAAGAAAAAAAAACAAATAACCCCATTAAAAAGTAGGCGAAGGATATGAACAGACACTTCTCAAAAGAAAACATTTATGCAGCCAACAAACATATGAAAAAAAGCTCATCATCACTGGTCATTAGAGAAATGCAAATCAAAACCACAATGAGATACCATCTCATGCCAGTTAGAATGGTGATTATTAAAAAGTCAGAAAACAAACGATGCTGGAGAGGATGTGGAGAAATAGGAACACTTTTACACTGTTGGTGGGAGTGTAAATTAGTTCAACCATTGTGGAAGACAGTGTGACGATTCCTCAAGGATCTAAAACTAGAAATACCATTGTACCCAGCAATCCCATCCCTAGTTATATTCCCAAAGGATTAAAAATCATTCTACTGTAAAGTCACATGTACACATATGTTTATTGCAGCACACTGCACAATAGCAAAGACTTGGAACCAACCCAATTGCCCATCAATGATAGACTGGATAAAGAAAATGTGGCAAATATACACCATGGGATACTATGCAGACATAAAAAAGGATGAATTCATGTCCTTTGCAGGGACATGGATGAAGCTAGAAACCATCATTCTCAGAAAACACAAGAACAGAAAACCAAATGTGTTCGGAGTTAGTTCTTTCTGGTGGGTTCTCGGTCTTGCTGACTTCAAGAATGAAGCCACGGACCTTTGCGGTGAGTGTTACAGCTCTTAAAGATGGTATGTACGGAGTTTGTTCCTTCTGATATGTCCAGAGTTTCTTCCTTTCTCTGAGTTATGGTGGAATAATTGAACTCTTCCTTTCTCTGAGTTATGGTGGAATTGAATAATTCGTGGCTTTTTCCTAATTCTCCTTAGTTCTTCTAGAAAACACGTCAACAGATGTTTGAGACTCCAGTCCCCATGATCTGAGTCGAGGTCCCAGTGGGGATCCATACTGGGGACGACTTGCTGACCGGTAGGAAATTTATCCCTGTCTTTGGTTGTCATTCTATCATTTACTTGACTAAGATACCGGGTATCTCCAAACTCTTGGGCTGCAGCTAAAGCCACATTCTTTTCATTAAAGGCCAGGGTTTGACCTAATAACATGACATCTCTCCAAGTGAGATTGAAGGTTTCCCCTAGACCCTGTAGGACATCTGTATACTTATCAGGATTATCTGAAAACTTCCCCAGGTTTGCCTTTATCTGCTTTAAATCAGAGAGGGAGAAAGGGACATGTACCCAGGTTGGGCCCAATTCCCCTCCCCCTACAGCTTGAAGGGGACACAACCGATAGCCAGGGGGGTTTTGTAGTGCCTTGGAGATTTCCTTGCTTGTTTCCTTCTGGGTGGGGGAGATTAGAGGAGGTTTATCATTAATAGGAAGGGGCTATAGGGAAGCTAGGATATGGAGGTAAGCTGAGAGGTCCTCTTGTGGGATGTAAATTGCAAGCTTTGCATAGTTGTGGATTCTCCTTCAATGAAAAGAAAGCTTGGACCTAAGGTATTTCACTCCATTTGCCTTCTCTCTTACAGAAAAGGTGAAGCTTCAGGATAGTGTTGTAATTATACTTCCCTCAGGTGGCCATTTTTCCCCATCAGAGAGAGAATACTGGGGCCAGGCCACAGTGCAGAAAAAAAATGAGCTGCCCCTTTTTCAGGGTCTGTGGGTCAAATTGGTCCCAATGGCTTAGGATGCATTTCAAGGGTGAGGCTGTTAATGCCTGAGTGTTTCCCATCTGAAAGAAAAAAAAATGGCCATAGTTTTGGTTTGTTTGTTTCCCACCCCCTGCCCAAGAACCTGCAACGGTCCCTGGACCCTGCTAATCGGAATAGTTGCGCTCACTGACGCAGCAGCAGAAACACTAGGTTTCCTCCTAGACCATGAGGAGGACTGAGGAAGGTTGGATTTAGTGGCCCTTGCTGACGCATTCTTGAAAACCTGCACCCTTGCCCATTCTCCTAGACCACAAAGAGGACCAAGAAAAATCAGATTTAGTGACCGTTACTGACACATTCTCAAATACCTGTTAGAGTCCTAAGCTTTCTCCTGTTAGCACTGGGACCTTTCCAGTGTCCTATAAAGATGTTATGCCCCAAAAATGAAGTGGAGGGCCATACCCTGAGGGAGGGAAGGGATCTCCAGGGTTGGAAGAGTGATGCCTTTTGTCCTCACTTCTCATCATATGAATAGGAGGGATATCATTTCTGAGGCTCTCCATATCCTAGCTTCAGGAATATGCTTTTGTTAGGCCTGCTAGTCTGAGAAGGGATCCTAAAATTCAAGATAGTCCCCCCTCAATGGGGCTTTGGGCAAAAATTATGTCTTTCTGATTGGTGAGCCTGGGTGCCTGAAGAAGGAAACAGAATCCTGAGGTTCATACTAGAAATCATTCTTATAGGAGAAACTAGAAAAGCACCAGAGACAGGGAGTGGTTTTTGGAAGCAGGACTAGCCTCAGAGAAGAGAGCCAGGAGGAAATTTGTCTGACAGACATTAGGACCCAGGAGGCAAGGGTCAGGATAGATAGGATAGATGGGCGAGTCTCACTTAGGTGACATGACTTTGAGAGTTCTGCTCATGGCTACAGGATCAACCAACTTTTTGTTGGGACCCCAGAGCTGAGCGGCTTTCCTCTCTGTCCACCCTTGGCTCAGCCCAGAAGTACAGGAAAAGCACAAGCTGGTTCCAGGCAAACCAATGCTCCCAACTCTGAAGAGTCAGGGGTTGTTAGAGAGCCCTTTCCTAGAAAGCCTGACACCCGTGTCTTTAGTCTGGTAGCCACACTATTTGCTTTTAACTGGCCGACAGGTGCCTGGTATTCAGCCCCTAAATTCTAAGGAAAAATAGGACAGAATAGCAAGTGAAAGGGGTCCGATGGTACTCACTGCTTGGCAATGGTCCCTTTGTGGTCAACAAGATGTGTCCAGATTTGGTTCCTTCCAGTGGGTTCTTGGGCTCACTGACTTCAAGAATGAAGCCACAGACCTTCGCAGTGAGTGTTACAGCTCTTAAAGGTGGCACGGACCCAAAGAATGAGCAGCAGCAAGATTTATTATGAAGAGCAAAAGAACAAAGCTTCCACAGTATGGAAGGGGACCTGAGTGGGTTGCCACTGCTGGCTGGGGTGGCCAGCTTTTATTCCCTTATTTGTCCCCACCCACATCCTGCTGACTGGTCCATTTTACAGAGTGCTGATTGGTCCATTTTACAGAGTGCTGATTGGCGTGTTTACAATCCTTTAGCTAGACACAGAGCACTGATTGGTGCATTTTTACAGAGTGCTGATTGGTGCATTTACAATCCTTTAGCTAGGCACAGAGTGTTGATTGGTGCGTTTTTACAGAGTGCTGATTGGTGCATTTACAATCCTTTAGACACAGAGTGTGGATTGGTGCATTTTTACAGAGTGCTGATTGGTGTATTTACAATCTTTTAGCTAGACACAGAGTGTTGATTGGTGCATTTACAATCCTCTAGCTAGACAGAAAAGTTCTCTAAGCCCCGACTCAACCCAGGGAGTCCAGCTGGCTCCACCTCTCGCAAACACTGCATGTTCTCACCCATAAGTGGGAGTTAAACAATGAGAACATGTGGACACAGGGAGGGGAACATAACACACCAAGGTCTTTCGGAGGGTGGGGGGGATAGAGGAGTGATAGCATTAGGAGAAATACCTAATGTAGATGACAGGTTGATGGGTGGAACAAACCACAGTGGCACATGTATAACTGTGTAACAAACCTGCATGTTCTGCACATGTACCCCAGAACTTAAAGTATAATAAAAAAAATAAAGCCCCACCCACCTTGTATGGATCAAAAAGGTAATCTACTTTGCCATCTTCTGCAGTCCCATTTTAATGTAAATGTTTGTTTGTTTACTGGAAGACAGCATATTTTTAATCAACTAAAAATACAAATTCTGTCCTTTCACCGTACCTCTCCAAGGATCTCCTCGTAGTATCTCTCACACATATAATGTCCTAGGAATAAAACTGATCCTGCGTGCCCCTCCCTTTCCCATTTAACCTCTCTCTCTGTCACCTTCCCCCCTCTTCTGTGGTATCTTCAATAATCCCAAATCTAACACGCGTGTGTGGTTGCTATTAGGAGAGCACAGATCCAAATAGAAGCATGCTCCATGTTTTATTTTGTTGCACGATGCATTCAGCTTATTGCATCTGCATGATTGCTGGAGCCTCTGAGAATGCTAATTTTCCATCTTATTCTTCTTAGAAAAATGTGCTCAAGGAAGAATGTAGCTGCCCAACCCATGGGAAAATCAGAAGATAGAGTCGGGAAGCTGAGAGGGTTAATGTCTCTGTAGCAAAGTTGCTAGTATCTTCTGTGAAGTGTCAATGTCTTGGTATTCTTTTTTTCCCTACCAAAATTGTGCACGTATGTGACTCCAGCTTTCCTTACAAGGGGGGTTGTGACCCCCTGAGGGCCTCCATCTGTCTGCCTGGAACATGTGGTCTCATCAGTGTGGCAGTTCACTGTGGCTAGAGCTCATTAGAGAATGTGCTGACATTGACTACCGGCCCCTACGTTCAATTCTTTTCTTGAGGCTCCTTGTCTTATACATTGAGGGAATCTGGGGTATAAAAAAAGAAAACAAAATTTCATGTGCTTTAAGAGACTCTGATACAAAAACGTAGATCACAAGTGGCTCAGGGATAGGAGATGGTGTGACTTCTGAAGCTGAACTTGAATAGAAGACAAGTCTATTTTAAACATTTCTTTGTTACAAAATATTCAATAGACCTTTCCCCTTGACCAAAAGCTACCACCTCCAACTCCAAATAAATAGGTAAGTATCTGGGTATTCTCAAAGTATGTCAAAGTGTTTTGTGTTTTTTTTTGTCAGAATCTGAAAATCCATATTTTTAGTCACATCTGATTCAAAGCATGACTAGAAATAGCATGAGTGCTGACATACTGGGACATTTTAATTCCTAAAACTTCCAGCTGGAAATTCAGCAAAAACTGTTCTCTTGGCACTTCCCAAGAAACGTTGCAGTTTCAGAGCAGAAGGTGAATCAGAATAAAGATTGGGGGATGCACCACCACCACCACTAAAATGACAGTAACAAAAAAAGCTATTGAGATGTTTTGGTATCAAAGGTTCAGCTTTTATTTCATAGTGTTTTATTTTTTAAGTTGCAGCAGGAGAGCTGTCTCAGTTCCTGAGACTACAGATGGATAAAAACAGATTTTGGGAAAGGTGGAAATTTTCTTACTTCCTGGTTAGAAAAAACAGCACCAGAGGGAACAATTTCCATTATCCTAAAACCTTTCATTCCCTGCCCATGTGTCCCTGGACGGCCCTCACCAGTGAATTTGCATTGCCCCTTGGTGTGTAAACAGGCCTCCCCAAACACATTTCCTCCTCCCCCACAAAGCGTCCTGCTGGAGACAGGACGTTGGCTTCCTTTACAGCTCACGAAAGCTCTCCTCCCAGCCTCCCTGACCGCTGGCTGTTCTCCATGCTCTGACAATTACAGCCCATAGCTGGATTTTCTAAGAAGAATCCAGGTTTTCAATGCTCTGTTCTCCTTGTTGAAAACTGCGTTTGTACATGGTATAGCACAAGCCCTGATGGTGACTTTGTATGCTAGAATCCCAATTCCAGTGTTTATGAGACCTAGCTCCTTGCCTCTTTTGGATGCTCGAGAAACCTTCAAGTAGCATTGTACTCTGTAAGTTTGCCTTTGCAGTATTGTCCTGTCTGTGCATTTGGAAGCAGATTTGAGCCTGACCTCTGTGTGCGTGTGTTGTCTGTGTGTGTGTGAGTGCATGCCTGTGTGTGTGTCTGTGTGAGTGTATGTGTGTGTGTCTATATGTAAGTAGGTGCATGTCTGTGTGTCTGGGAGTAGGTGCATATGTGTGTGTGTGTGTATATCATGAAAGGGTGCAAGTCTGTGTGTGTGTGTGTGAGTGGGTGTCTGTGTGTAAGTGTGTGTATGTGTTTATGTGTGGTGAATAGGTGCGTGTCTGTGTGCGTGTGTGTGTCTATGGTGAATGGGTGCATGTCTGTGTGTGTATATATATGAGTGAGTGGGTGGGTGAGTGTGTGTGTGTGTGTGTCTGTGTGAATAGACGAGTGTCTGTGTGTGTGTGAGACAGTGCATGTCTGTGTCTATGTATAAGTGAGTGACAGCATGTCTGTGTGTGTGTCTGTGTGAGTGCATGTCTGTGTGTGTGTCTGTGTATGTGTCTGTGTGTGTGTCTGTGTGTGTGTGTGTATGTAGCAGGGAGTAGAGGAGCTTGGACTGGGGGTGAAACATGATAGAATATAATACATGGAGGTGTCACGGGGGTTTTCTATAAGATTATCTGGTGAAGTGAAATGTCACAGAGCTCCCAAAACAAATATACTTCTCCAACCAAACACATCAATTGCTCAGTGAAGTCCTATTTTCTGTCTAGGGAAGGGGGAACATTTCCCAGCGGGGTAAATCGTAATGGATCACATGACGAGATAGCACAGTGGTTTCCTTAGGAGGAAATGCTCTGGAAAATTAACACTTTTCGGTGATACACAGAACACCACCCCCCATCCTTTGCCCTAGAAGGGAGAAGGCTCTCTGCAGGCAATACAGGCTATGCGGAATCTCTCCAGTAACCATTCCTCTAATGTGGCAACGCCGCTGCTACCCTGGGCTCCGAGAGTGCAGGGCTAATTGTACGGTGTCAGATGGTAGGTGTGTCCGTGGTACGGTTTTAAGAGGCACATCAGTGCAGCTTTATACAACATAATAGGCGCTGATTAGGCAGCCGCGTGGCGTGGCATCAGCATGTGTGTCGCAGACTGTTAGCTGCCCGCGCTGGGGCCCACTTGAGCTGCAGAAACACACAATGGTGCCTGGGGAGATGGCGGCTGCAGCTCCAAATCTTTTCATAGGGGATTAGCTCTGGCTCTGGGGAAGGGTGGGGCGGGAGCAATTGCAGAATTCCCCTGCAAGGCCTGGCAGACGACCGAGGGTGACATTCTGGTCAGCTCTGACTCCGACCTGAGTGAGACCCTTTTGTCTGCTGCACTCCCTACAGCGGGCGATTCTGCACCTGCGTGGGGTCCGGCAAGCCCGGGAGGCCAGTCTCCTGTTCCCAGGCAGCCTGTATATATAGACTGCACACAGTGTGTGATGATCGTGGAAAGCAGGACTGTGGAGCTTTGCTGTTACTGCTGACAATATTTCCTGCCTCCCCGTCGTGTTCTAACCCCCCTGTCTCGCGTGGTACCAGTGCCCAGCTGCGGACCAAGGCTGGCTTTCCTCCTCGTGTTTCCTTTACGCGATGTCACCAATCCCCCGTGCTTGTTCTGTAAACGGTTGGGGTTTGGTTTTGTTTTTGTGTTCCTGAGTCACACCTTGCTTTCCATTTCCAGACTTACACCCCTAAGCCGGCCCCCCACACCCTCATGCCAGGATTCCAGGCCCAGAACCTACAGCTGCCAGAACAAAATGCCTTCAACAGCAAGTGTCAATTCTGCTGTGACCTGCACTTCAGGCTGTCCAGCAATGACCCGCTCCCCTCCACCACCCCGACTCATCTCTCAGTAATTCCCCAAACAGAGCTTCTAGTGCTGATAGAAGGGGCTGTCTTTCTCTCTTGTAACTATAGTTTGCTTGCTTTCCATTTTGCACCTTTGCCCTCGTTTCCGTATTCTATCCTTGGAATATTCTTTATTTTACCTTCTGTAAAAGCTACGAGATGCACTATCTACTCAAGATCTGTCTCTGTTAAAATCATCTTTCCTGACAGTCATATTGTTTAGATTACGGGCTGGAACCGTGTAGGCTCTCAGTGCCTAAGTGGCTAAAAAGAAAAGCCCTGGCCCCAGGTAAATCCAGGTTAGAATCCTGGGTCTGCAGGAGACGGAGGTTACAGTGAGCCGAGATCACGCCACCGCACTCCAGCCTGGGCAACAGAGCTAGACTCCATCTCACCAAAAGAAAAAAAAAAAAAAATCCTGGGTCTGTGTTCTGGTCTATATCTCAGCTTTCCTACCCAGAATATAGGGAAGATCCACAGTTCCTCTCAACAGGATTTCATGGGATAACGTAAATACCATGCCTGACATGTGGTGCACAATTAAGAAATGTTTTCATTTGTTTTTTAATAATTTCAACTTGTATTTGAGATTCCAAGGGTCCATGTGCAGGTTTGTCCCATGGGTATATTGCATGACACGAAGGTTTGTGGGTGCAAATGATCCTATCAGCCAGGTAGTGAGCATGGTACCCAGCAGGTAGTTCTCAGCCCTTGCCCTTCTCCCTCCTTCACCCATCTAGGGGCCTCTAGTGTCTGTTCTTCCCATTTCTCTGTCCATGAGTACCCGACGATTCACTTTCACATATAAATGAGAATATGAGCTATTTGGTTTTCTGTTCCTGTGTTTATTTGCTTAGGATCATGACCTCCGGCTGCTGCATCCCTGTTGCTGCAAAGGATATTATTTTGTTCCCTTTTTTTTTTTTTTTTTTTTTAGATGGAGTCTCACTCTGTCACCCAGGCTGGAGTGCAGTGGCATGATTTCGGCTCACTGCAACCTCTGCCTCCTGGGTTCAAGTGATTCTCATGCCTCAGCCTCCCGAGTAGTTGGGAGTACAGGTGCGCACCACCATGCCCAGCTAATGTTTTTTGTATTCTTAGTAGAGACGGGGCTTTTGCCATGTTGGCCAGGCTTGTCTTGAACTCCTGACCTCAGGTGATCCACCTGCCTCAGCCTCCCAAAGTGCTGAAATTACAGATGTGAGCCACTGTGCCCGGCCTGTTTTGTTCTCTTTTATGGCTGTACATTATTCCATGGTGTATATGTACCATTTTCTTTACCAAATTCACCACTGATGCGCACCTAGGTTGACTTCATCTCTTTGCTATAGCAAATAGTACTGCAATGAATATATGAGTGCATGTGTCTTTTTGTTATAACAATTTCTTTTCCTTTGGATATACACCTAGTAACAAGATTGCTGGATTGAATGATAGTTCTGTGTTCTTTGAGAAACCTCCAAACTGCTTTCCATAGTGTCTGAAATAATTTACATTCTCACCAATGGTGTATAAATCTTCCCTTTTCTACATGGCCTTACCAGCACCTGTTAATTTTTGACTTTTTAATAATAACCATTCTGACTGTTGTGAGATAACTTCTTATTGTCTACTTAGAAATTTTTATAGCATCTCTGAGCCTGGGTTGTACTTTGTTATTTATTAATAAATTATTTACATATGGAGATCCGTGTAAGCCTTAAGCAGCCCAATGACAGAAATCAGTGACCATTACATCTCTATCCTTTGACGTTGTCCCCAAATCACTTAGCATTCAACTCTACACAGAGGCAACATTCAATATATATTATAATGCATGTCTGGCTGGTACTAAGAATTCACAAATAGAAAATCATGTTCTATTGCTTTCTGTATTAGAGAAGAGTTATTTTGCCCCTCCTATTTTTATTTTACTTCCTTAAAGTCTACACCAATTATGGGAAAGAGCTTATCTGTGTATGTGCTATAAAATTCAAGTGTTCAATGCAAAATTCAGCCACACTCCATTTTTGTTTACTCCTTCAACCTTTCTTCATCACATCTCTAAAATTAGAATAAAGGTGAGAGGACTTTAAAAATAAAACTAAAAAATATATCTAAACTAACTGTGAATTATAAATCAGCCTTTATATGTTGTTTTTATTGCTTTCTGTATTCATCTTCATTTTAAGTGATGATATCGTAATATTCACTAAGATACAAGATTTTCTTAAGTTGTGTATGTTTTTCCTAGTCTTGAAAGTCTACTCTAGGTTTACCTGACCGCTAAGGCTGCCACTTTACCATTGTGCTTATGGGATCTACTCTTTTATTAATAAAAATAATACAAATAAAAATAGTCAATAGGCATTAAGCACTTACCCTCTTGACAGGCATTGCATTACTTTGGGTCTCCAAGATGGGATTAGACATGCACAAGTTTTACTGAGAACAACTAAATAGCTGTGAGGGATAAAAAGAAGGAAAGCAAAGAAAAGAGAAAGAACCTTTAGAGAGTGATGCAGATTGGGTAGGAAGAGTCTCAACCTGTAGGACAGTTCTAAGAAAGTTGCAACCAGGATGAGGGGAGGCCTCAAGCCAAGTTGCTCCTTAAAAGTATTCCTCTTCTTGCAGAAATTGGGCCTGCATTTAGACCTCTGTTGAACACGGGGAAAGATCCAGGCAGTCAGCCACTGGAGGCACCTGTCAAATATGTTTCCTGTTGTGGGAGATCTGAGAGCTGCATTTTCATGGCCACCATATGCATGCACTCACTTCATTTCACAACAGATAAAAACCAGAGAGTTGATGCAAGTTTCCCAAAGGCATGCCACAGATGAGTGACATAACTAGATTTTAGCATACGCTGTCTTATTTCAGAGCCCATAACAGGTAGGTAAGTAGGTAGGTAGGTGGAAAGATATAGATGAAAAGAATATGTAAAAACCAAATATTTATAGTGTATGTAATATGCAAATATTGAATTCAAAATTTGATTTTTTTTTATAAATGTCATAAATCATTCTTAATTCCCCAAATTTGTCATACAAAATCATGGTTATTACTTTGGAGAGTGCTTGACTTTTGTACCAAATTGTGACATATTTGAGGAGAACAAAAAACTTCAATCTCTTCTCTCTTTTTTTATATTTAAAGTCAGCACTTGCCTATATGATAAATGGTAATGTCTCATTTTTAAATACGTGAATAACATAGGAATCTCCTGAAATGGAGCTACACTTTTATCAACCAATTTTCTATTGAAAATTCTTTTATTCTGTGGAATGATCCTTCAGGTGTACCAATAATTGCCTGAGGGTTTTTTTGTGTGGGTAGTTGCTGTTTTCTGGCTTCATTACTACATTATATGCTTCTGTTGACCACTTGTATTAGTTAGAATAAGGTAAGATGAGGTAACAAAGAAACCCAGGTATGAAAGGAGACAGGTGTACAGACATGTCCTCTTGCATGTGATTATTAAAGCTCCTTACATCTTGTGGCTGTGGTAACTCCTATAGAAAAAAAAAATCATTGTGTTCCACAATTAGGAGTTTTTTATGGACCAGATCTAGATGTGGAACATGGCATTTTTGCTTCCATATTAATTTATACGGCCACAAAAAACTGCATGGAAGACTTAGAAATATAGTCTAGCTTTAGGCACAAAGGAGGTGTCAACAAGTTTTGGCTAGCTAGCTGGGAGTCCCCGCCAAGTCATGTGGAATATTCTTGTAATGTCATCAATACTCCAAGTTCTCCAAATTAAGATTCCTTTTCATCTTAATCTTCTCACTGTTAGGCAGGTTCTAAAGGTCCTTTTGCACATATAGGAAGCCTCACTTAAATATCTGGTTAAAAAGTCATGACTTTTTTTTTTTTTTTTTTTTTTGAGACGGAGTTTCACTCTTGTTGCCAATGCTGGAGTGCAATGGTGCAAACTCGACTCACCACAGCCTCCGCCTCCAGGGTTCAAGAGATTCTCCTGCCTCAGCGTCCCGAGTAGCTGGGATTACAGGCACACGCCACCACGCCCAGCTAATTTTGTATTTTTATTAGAGGCGGGGTTTCTCCATGTTGGTCAGGCTGGTCTCCAGCTCCCAACCTCAGGTGATCCACCCGCTCAGCCTCCCAAAGTGCTGGGATTACAGGCGTGATCCACTGTGCCCGGCCTTCAAAGTCATGACTCTTACTAAGACCATTGCTGCTCTACCCCGGAAAATCTGGTTCATTCAGAAATAATCTTCATTTTAAAATGTTCAGAATAGACAATTAGGGGCAAAAGCCTTATCTCTCTTTTTTAATTACCATTTTTGTTCATGAGGGTATTTTGTAAGGTGGCAATATGACTATGGCTCTTTCAGGTTAAGGATTCTCTGCTTCTCTTTTATCATCACCTCATCACCTTAACTCCTTGAATGTTGGAGTGGCTACGAGTGATTCAGCAGAATGAATGCTGAATTGGAAGTTAGGAAAGAGGGAGCTAATTTCAGATCTGCCGTTTCTTTGTCACAGAAACACCAACAAGTAACTTATCTCTCTTGGCTTGTGTACCCTAATCTGTAAATGAGAATCTTGCCCTTCTAATTTTATAGAGTTATGGTGGGTAAAGTATGAATGTGCTTCGGAAACCAGGGCTCAGATGCCACGGAGTGGCAATCTTTGTTATACTTTCATCAGAAGGTACTAGATGAACCATGCTTTTTTGTCACGGTTATGGACAAGGCACTATGGAGTAATAAACATGAGTTAGGATCCAGAAGTTAAATGTTGAAGATAAAAGAAACAATCATGAAAATATGATAAAAGATAAAAGATAGAGCTTCAAGGAAAATATGAAAGCAATCACAAACTAAAACCTGGCAGAGCTGAAAGGGTGTTAGAGATAATCTTTTGATTAGCAGGATGTGAAATGAATTAGAGGAGTGCCTCGCCAATCAGTTCTGCAGCAGTCTCTGGGCTATGCCTTGAAGTACCCAACTCTGCTGGAGCTCCCAACCCCACACTGAATTCATTGTGTATATGCCTTGGGTTTCATAAGGTTAAAGGTTACCTTAAAGAGCCCAGACCCTGAACCCTCAGGAAGAATCATGAGGGAAGCCATGATGCCAACTTATGATTAATTTGAAAACCAAACTTTTGCTGTAACTGAGACGTCTTATATTAGTAGCAACATATTTTAAAACATCCATTGGTTTGCAGAGGTTTTATGACATTGTGATGTGTGGGCACAACTTGCTTTGCATATGAGCTAACAAAAAGTTCATATGGTCATTAGAATGTGTGATAATTTGTCTCATGAACAAATATGAAAACAAAATGAGAGCACTGGCCAAGGCTACACAAATAACTACACAGTGTTCAAGGTTGGCCAGCTGAGCAGTGCACAGACTGCATGATTTAGGGGTGCTGGGATCCTGTTAAACCACAGGTGTGATTGCACTATAATTATTGCTGATTTGTACTTTTTTCAGGTTTTTTAATTTTTCAAGTATGATACTGACATTTTTGTATTTGAAAGCTGCCAGCACAGAGAGATAGAAAATCTCCACAGATATTGGAAGAAAATTACATTGTCTAACACTGAATAATATCACTTGCATTAGTTAGGATTATGCTAGATGCTGGTCCAAATAAACTAAAAATATCGATGCATTAACCCAACAGTGGTTTAGTTCCCACTTACGTAAAGTCCATTTGGCAGCAGGATGGAATGAGGACTCTATTCCACGCAGCCATTCAGGTACTCAGACTGCTGAAGCCTCTACCATTTTTCAGTACAAGCTTCCACAATTACTCTGGGTATCAATATCTATTCAGCTGACAGAGAGAGACATGTATATGGGACATTTTTATGAGTTAGACTTGGAATTACTATCTTTTACTTTCTGCCCATTCCATTGGTCATAGATCAGTCAGATGACTACACCAAACTGAAAAGGATGCTTTGAAATGTACCATATTTGTACACTTAAAAGGGAAATGAACATTTCTGAAGATGAACTACCTGACTCTGTTTGACGCAGGAACTTACATTTGTATAGTTCTTGTATCATTATAGATCTCTTTCATCTGCTTTGACTCACTGGATTATAAACCGCCCTGTGAATTATTTTAGTCTGCATCCTTATTTCAGCAAAAAGAAACAGAGGTCCAGTGGTTATGTGAATTTCCCATCATCACATACCTGGTAATTTGGGGATCTAGGATTCAGCTTCAAGTCTTCTAACGTCAAAGCCCGTTTTCTTCCTTTATGTTGCCCTGTATACTTCTCTTTGCTCTGTGTTTTAATGGGAAAAAAAGAAAAAAACACGGGAATTAATGAATCCTGCCTTAATGTTGCTTACAAGAAATCACACAAATAAAACTGCTGAGAAGTAATTACAGAACAGCATAGAGACAAACATAGCATAATATATTAAAGGCCAAAAGCAATGAGATTTGGTAGGATAATTCATCTAAGGCTACCACACATATAGCATTTACTTAGTCTGAAACCTGAGCTTTCTATCTCAGTTTTCAATAAGCTTTCTTGGAAATAGAAAATATTCTAAACATAGTTCTGAAAGCTATTTCTTGTCCTGTTCCTAAACATGGATTCCACAAAAAACTGATTCAATTCCTGGGATCTGATATATTCTCAAGCAGTGATTCATGGAGCATGCTAAAAGAAGAACAGTTCTGGAGGATACAAGAAAAAAATTCTTATGAAGTAAGAAAAAAAATAGGTTTAATAGTTTTAGATTTAGCCAACGTATATTGAGTACCTAATACACACTGGACACTGCAGATGATTTCACACATATTATTTTGTTTGTTCAAATGCAATTACATAGAAGCAAAATAGGATTTGTATTGTCTGGAGATATAAATTATTTATTATCCTTGGATCTCTTTAGTATGAATAAATGATATTTGGCTTTTGTGTTTTTGCAGGTTATTGCAAACTTTCCAAAATTTTGCTGTATTTTTTCATAAAACCTTAGATCTTAGAACAAGAAGAGATATCAAAAGGACATCTGGTTTACCCCTCTATTCTCAGGAAATGCGTGGTGTTTTCCTATTCACTAGCCATGTTACCAGGAGCCACTCACTTTTCTAAGCCTTAGAATCTGCATATGCTAAATGGTAGTTCTAAAACACCCTCCCTACCTTCTGTGCCGATAGCAATAAGCATCATATGTTGTGTTTTCTAAACTGTAAAGCAGTATGCAAGGTATATATCAGATAGTGCTTGATCACCATTTAACAGAGGAGATGACTGAGGCTCAGAATGGTGAAAAGGACTTCCTCGGTGTCACAGAGTCAGGGAGAAGGCCATGGAAACTTAGATTCTTTACTTCCAGGGCCACCTTTTTTGACATCAACTTTAGCTGCTCCATATTCAAAAGACTTGAACAGAATTTTTGGTTTCTTTTGATCTTTCCCACGATTAAAGTAGGTAAAATATCAATGTGGAATCATTTTGTTCAGTGGATAAAAGAGAGAGAAACAGCAGCCTCCCCTGATATTGTAGTGAGGGGCTGGCTCCAGGAACCGTTGTTTGTGCATTTAAATCACAGAAATCTCAGGAGTGCTCAACTGAGCTCTATTTGGTAAATCTCGAACAAGACTTGCAAACACAACACACACACACAATTTAGGAAATTGAAGACCTTGCATTATTTTCCCAGTTACTAGGAGAATGGCCCCAATTTATATTGGGGGGGTCAAGTTCTACAGGCTCATATGACATAGTTTTTGCCCCATAATGGGATAATTATTAACTCCTTATATTTTCATTGCAGCTGGTGTCAAATACATATATATAAAATATAATATATAATACAAATATATATATATATACACACACACACATGTCTAAGGGTCAACTTTGGGAATTGATTTCATATTCTAGTAAGAATGAGCAAGTAACAATTTGGAACAGAATTTTGGCTGAACAAAGAGACACTCAGGGCAGGCTTTTTTAATAAATGGGGGGAATAGCAGTTGTTAAGTGTGCCCAGAATCATTGTGGCATCAGGGGCATTTTGATCAATTAAAATAACAAAGTAATTAACACCTGCTGTGTGTTACAGTGGGGAACAAGGTAAATTGCCATTCTCTTGGAAGCTTCTGGTTTCTACAAATCCTGCTCTGAAGGAGAGGCACAGGGAAGGTCAATGTGCTCACAAGTAGGTCTCTTGCCAGAAAGAAGAGGCCTACAGAACATGTTCACAAATTTGAATATACATGTATATCTGTTCTTGCACCCTTCCAAGGAGATTTTGGTCTCTATAGGATGACATTTAAAGGCTAGGCCAAATAATACTTAGCTCTTCTGGACAACATCTTTTCACTCAGATGTGGTATTTTTATGTATTTCAAAAAATAGAAGTTCCTTCGATGTCAGTAAACAGTGTTTCTCGAAAACCTGATGTTAATGGCTGTGTGTGTACTGTCAGAATTCTTACACTGAAGTCTGAAATCCACAGAACCTCAGAATGTGACTATATTTGGAGACAATTGATTTAAAGAGGTAATTAAGTTGAAATGAGGGACTGAGGGTAGGCCCCAATCAAATAGGACTGGTGTCTTTCTAAGAAGAGATTAGGACACAGAGATGCACAGAGGAAAGACCATGTGAAGACAAAGCAAGCAGGTGGCCGTTCACAAGCCGAGGAGGGAGACCTCAGGAAAAGCCAATCTTGCCAACAGCTTGATCCTGGACCTCTGAACTATGAGAAAATAAGTTTTCTGTTGTTTTAGCTGCACAGTCCATGGAACATTGTTGTGGCAGCCCTCGCGAATGAACACACCTGAATTCCAAAGAAGGATACTGCCTCTGAAGCTACAATTGTGAATTTTGGTTGAAATTATTGTCATTATTTGAAAGATTCCTCTGTGTTAGACACACAGGAAGATGTGCGGGTGCACAAGCGGAAAGACAATGCCCTGCTGCCAGGATGTTAGCAAGTTAAAAGAGTCTGCTATCTCCCTCCCAAAGGCGGAAAATCCATTAAACCAATGTACTTAAGAGCCCATTGTTCCGAAAACATTCATTACTAAACTTGTGGGATAAGAAGGGAAATGAAAAAGAATAAGAAACTATCAGTTTTACTAGTAAGCAAAAGACTGGATTTTGCATTATAGTTGAAAAATCACAAACTTTCTAATCTGAAAAGCTGATGTTTTGCCCAGACTATAGCATTATCTACTTGCCATGTTTTAGATACGTTTTGTCGTCTTTTGGGCTCCGATTTTCTCTCAGACCCTTCAAGTGGTGATTGTCTCTAGCTTCTGCCTTTCCACTTTCACAAATGAATATTGTTATGAATATTATGGCTGGGTTTGTACACTCTTCTACCATTGCTCACCTGCTAGCCGACTGGAAGAGTATATTTTCCTGCAACTTGCAAAAATACATATTGACGTAAGATTGAAAATCATTAAAAGGGAGAAAAAGAAAAGTCAGCTATATTACCACTTTCTGAAAAAAAAAAGTGTGGTATTTGGGGCTGTTTTCTCTGTTGTAGTGTAGGTGCACAATTCTGTTTTATTTTCCTATATTGGTATCATAATTGTTTTATGCCCTGATTATCAATGGATATTGTATCACTCATACTTTCCATCTGTTGAGTAGTGATTAGGACAACTAACCAAATATTGCTAGTTATCCCAAATTCACGTGCATGATAAGATACCTGGTCCCCCAGGGTTTGGGTGGGGCTGTAGGTTTATTCTGGTGAATGAAGTGTCCGTGAAAATAATTTGTGTCATTTCTGGGCAAGAGCACTTATGACTGGCATCAAATCCACCAAAGCTGTTTTCCTTTCTGCCATGGAACTAGCGACGATCAAGGTAGTGCCTTTTCTCTTAGTCTCTGTTAATTTCTTATGGCTGATATAATGAACCACCATAAACCTGGTGGCTTTAAACAACACATATGCGTTCTCTTACAGTCTGGAGGCTAGAAGTTCAAAGTGAGTATTATAGGGCTAAAACTAAGATGTTGGCAGAGCTGTGCTCCCTCTGGAAGGCCCAGGGAAGAATGTGTTCCCTTTTACAACATCTAGAGTTTGATTCCTCCAAATCCTTACCTTTGCATGATGAATCCTTACAATCATGGTCTCTTTCTCCATCTTCAAAGCCACCATCAAAATATCTTCTCTCTCAGATACTGCCTCCCTCTGCTTCTATCGCATGGCATTCTTCTCTTCTGCCTGTAGTCAAATTCTCTCTTTACTCTCTCTTATAACAATACTTTTAGTTATATTTAGGGCCCACCTAGATAACCCAAGGATAATCTCCTCATCTCAAGATGCTTCATGTAGTCACATCTGCAAAAACCCTTTTCTACGTAAGGTAATATTTAGAGATTCCAGGGATTTGGACCTGGTTATCACTGGGGGTCATAATTCACCCTACTGCAGCCTGCATCCCACAGTGAAGAGAAGTGGAACAGAATTTCCATCAGCCCAACGTGGACGTGTGTTATGAGCACTGTATAAACCTGTATTTCTATAAGCCACTAGGATTTGGGAGGTTGTTTTTGGTGTTATTGTTACCACAGAAATAACTTGGTACATACAGACCATGAATGGTATAATTTAATATTTTTCTACAATTTTACTTTTAAATGGCTGTGTCTTTTTAAAGACTTCCATATAAACTATATTTTAGTTAATTTAATGACTATACTATTGGATTTGGCACCATGTCTAATATTTCCATGAATATGTTAATAGATAAACCATTGAGTGCATCTCTGATTATCCTTTTATGGAAAATTTCTAATGAATTCCTGGATCCAAGAGTATATACACATCTAAGGATGTTTCACCTACGGTGAAAGGACTTCCAGAAATGATTATGTCCATTGACACCTCAAGAGTAGCATTTGAGCAGAACCATTGATTTTAACCCTCTCTCAGGGAAGGCTTTGGAAAAAGAAAAGTAAATAACCTGTAAAAGTTTTAGCTAGTTCAATAAGATAAACTTGGGATGTTGAAGCAATCAATGTTATGTGAAGTTTCCAAGTTGTTTTAGGGGTTATACTAAATGAAGCAGAGGTCCTATTTCATGGTTCTATTTCTGAACACACCTACCCTGATACATTTCCTGTATATAGAAATGTGAAGAATGTCAGGATGAGGTGGGGTAAATGGTGAGTACAGAAACGACCTTGGTGAGAAAGTAAACTTGCTCAGGTAGAAAGGGTCTGATTGAAGATGAAAACAGAGAGAATTAACATGTATTGATCACATTTCACCGGAAGGCCCCATGTTGCAGACTGTTGCCTATATTTTCAGTAGCTACTCTTCTTTTCCCAACCCCTTTGTAACTTTTGAATGCCTTCCACTTTTGTTTGCGGGACTGGCTCTGTGTTTGGAGGGAGGGAACTGTGTCTGGCCAATGAAGTGGTGACTTTCCCACTACCCCATCCATCACTGGGGTGGAGTAACTGACAAAACACAGTGACACAGCCCCTACCCCAGCAGGAGCTAGGCGTATCATCTGCCCAGGCACCTGATCTTCGCTTTCCAGGGCTGAGAAAATCCAAGAGCCCTAGAAAGACAGATGTCAAAGGAACATGCTGCCAGGCAGAGACAGCAGTCATTTTTCCATAGATCGACTATGTCTGCTTCTGTCTGCCCCCCAGCCCCCCATCCCTTTCACACTTTCCAGTACTGTTTAGAGCCGTCATTTCAGGCTTTGTCTGTTTGATCGCCTGTCCCCTTTGTCAGACCCAGGGAGCCATTTGGAGGCAATGGCGGTGGCCATCTGTGCTGCTAGAATGAGGCTCTTTTTTCATCACTTACCTGTCTTTCCCATTCCAGAGATTCTTGGCTTAAGGGAGGCAGGTACCTCACTATTCTGGGCACACTGCCACCAGCTGGGTGGGTTTCAAATGTTGGGCCGGCCTTCCAGGTAGGAGGCTCTACAGGGGATTATGTTTTCTTGGCATTTTTTCCCTCTATCCCCAGAGCACTGAGATTTCAACTTGGCTGTCCCCATCGGCTTGCTCTAGTGAACCCTCCACTTTAAGGGATTTACTCTTATCCTAAAAGTCAGGCCAGCCAAGGCAAATGAGATTCAGCATCATCTGAACAATAGGGAATGATGAATGGGCTGCTCTCCATTTCCTGGGGAAAACAAAGTATAAATCCACGCTGAGGAGTGGAATTAGGATTTAGCACAAGGTTTTCCAGATTTCAGAATACTCTTAACAGATACTCAGGCCTGTAGACAGAGCCTCCAGTTGGTGTGTGCCACTCACACTCTTTTAGGTTGTCTTGGGTCACATGTACTTTCACTTTAAGTAAAAAAACAAGCTCGGAAAACCAAAGTCTTTCACTTTTGGGCCAAATAGAGGGGAGTCTGTTTTCTAAAAATGTACCACCTGGGAAAAATGAACCTCACATAACCCAGAAACTACATGAGCGCAGCAGTTTTCTACCGTGGCTTAATTTTCTCTTTGAAAATATTGGCAAAGATCAGTACAATTAGTGGTAAGGTTGGAATATTTTAACATCTCAAAGCTATTTGGTAGATAGAAGGACAGCATGAAGGTAACCTTTGCAGGCCAGATACAAAAATCCAAGTTGAAACTTGGGCTCATGACTTGTCCCTATCTCATGAGCGATCTTAACAAGTTACTCAAACTGCCTCTCTCTTCATTTGTACTTAAACCAGGGAAAGTAATATTTTCCTCCTCCCTAGCTCATGGCAAAATCATAAGCATAAAAGTAATTGGCCAGGTGCAGTGGCTCATGCCTGTAATCCCATCACTTTGGGAGGTGGAGGCAGGCGGATCACAAGGTCACAAGATCGAGACCATCCTGGCCAACATGGTGAAACCCTGTCTCTACTAAAAATCCAAAAGTTACCTGGGCGTGATGGCATGCACCTGTAGTCCCAGCTACTTGGGAGGCTGAGGCAGGAGAATTGCATGAACTTGTGAGGCAGAGGTTGCAGTGAGCTGAGGTGGTGCCATTGCACTCCAGCCTGGTGACGGAGCTAGACTCCATCTTAAACAAACAAACAAAAAAGTAATTAATGGTTATGAAGACCTTAGAAGCATTGCAGTATCATAAAAATGAAAAAAATGTATTATATGGTAATAACTCCTTAGTCATCTAGACAATTTTAATTAGAAATTGATGCATAACAGAAAGACACACTACTAAAGTTTACATTTGTACTATATGTGAAGAAGTAGTTCGCTAAGTAAATCGAAAGGATAAACAAATTTTAGAAGCATGTTTACATCAAATATATGTAATTAAAAGCTCATGAGTAATTATTTAAAATAAAAGGTGGGAGATCTCCAAATTAATCATCTACTGGCACAACCATAACTTAAAAAGATAACAATTTATATTAAATAAATGCAATAAGCTATCATATTAGCCCTAGATATTTATTAGGGTTTTTTCATCCTTTTTCCCCATCTCCATTTTAGAACTTGGCTATAAAATAACCTGTCAATTATATTTTTGTTTTTCACTGAGTGCAAAGGAATCTTGGCTCACATTTTAATGAAGGATGGATACCTATAAACATGCAATGACTATTGTTGTAAAACATGTGATGGTCATAGAGAAAAAAGAGCATTTAATTCCCACAAATGACATTTAAGTTGAGCTTTATACATGAGTACAATTTTAGTAGTAGTGATGGGAAAAGAGCAGTTTTGTGGGAAAGCATGAAAAGAAAGCTTCTAAGAACATGATGTTTTCAGAAACTGCCAAACAGCTCAACTCTGTTGGATAGTAAGATACAAAATAAAACAAAACAAAAAACAGATAAATAATAAGAGACAACTTTGAAAACCACAGAGCATGACATGGATCCATCTTTGAGTGCCATGTTGTGGAGTTTAAAATTTATTCTGAAGAGATCAAGAACATTTGGATATATTTAAGAAAAAGTATTCTATAATGAGACTTGTGATTTTGGAAAAGCTTCAGAATGAGCCTTGAGAATGGTCTCAAACACAGAGAGAGATTTGGAGTTAGGGTTAGGTCAGGGAAAGCAGCAAGAATATCTGTGACACACTTAGTTGATCAAGTTTTGAGGCTAAATTAAAGAAACCCTAATATGAAGCCATTCATCAAAATAATGACATGTGGGGTGTAGTGGCTCATGCCTGTAATCCCAACACTTTGAGATGCCGAGGGGAGAGGATCACTTGAGCTCATGAGTTCGAGAGCAGCCTGGGCAACCAAGTGAGACCCTGTCTCTACAAAAATAAAAATAAAAATTAGCTAGGTGTGGTGACCTGTACCTGTAGTCCCAGCTACTTAGAAAAATGAGGCGGGAGGATCACTTGAGCCCAGGAGGTTGAGGTGGCAGTAAGCCCTATTCATACCATGGCACTCCAGTCTGGGCAACAGAGTGACACCCTGTCTTTAATAATAATAACTGCATTTTTTATTTCCTATAGTATGAAACAGAAATAATTGAGAATATATCTGTATAGATATAAACAGAGCTAAACATATAACTTGTGGTCATTAAAATTAAGAATATTATTTAAGAAGTATAGAGAATCACAGGAATAAGGGTTGAGAACACACCAAAAAAGCTTGTTAACAAACGGGAGGTAAAGAGGGAGAGTCAGTGAAAGAATCCAAGAAAAAAATCTTTAGGGGAAAATTAAAAGCACAAGGTGCCTGGAATGTTACTGACGCCAAGGAAAAAAAGCATTTAGGAAAAAAACAATTTTTTTGGAAACTCAGATACCACAGAGTCTGAATCCAGTGAGGCTTAGGCCATTAGCATAAACATAGAAACATTTATGACCTTTGAAAGCACAGTTTCAGAGGAGACAAAGAAAGGACAAAATGGATGGCATGGAGCAGAGAAAATAGTACAGGATTGCACAATAAGCACTGTGGATAGCAGGCATTTTCCTCTGAAAACCAAGTTCAGAGAATGGAGGATATGTACCAAGGATAAAGAAAGAAAATCAGAGGAGAGGGAAGGACTGAGGATTGAAGAGAGCTAAGAGATCAAAGAGATGGTTCATAAAGACACGTCCTTCAGAAAGTGAGAGCAGATGGTTTTACATGTTCAGGTGCATGTGCATGTGGAAAGAAAAATTGCTTCAAATTTCTTGGTGTTAGAGAAAAATATATTGGTACTAAAACTATTGAGTTTCGAAGTAATGACAAAGGAAATTGGAGGACTTCACATCAGTTGTACTTGCTTTTCTTCTTTAAAATGAGAGCTAATTGGTAGGAAAGGATGCAGGAAGGGTAGTTTGGGCATGCCAGGATGATTAGAAAATACTCAGACAGTGGGCCGAGCGCAGTAGCTCACACCTGTAATCCCAGCACTTTGGGAGGCCAAGGCAGGCGGGTCACGAGGTCGGGAGTTAGAGACCAGCCAGACCAACATGGTGAAACCCCATCTCTACTAAAAATACAAAAATTAGCCAAGTGTGGTGGCATGCCTGTAATCCCAGCTACTCAGGAGGCTGAGGCAGGGGAATCGCTTGAACCTGGGAGGCGGAGGTTGCAGTGAGCCAAGATCACACCATTGTACTCCAGCCTGTGCAACAGAGTGAGAATCTGTCTCTGGCTCTTTCTCTCTCTCTCTCTCTCTCTCTCACACACACACACACACACACAAATAAATAAATAAAAGAAAATAGACAGTGGAATGGCCAAGGGAATTAACCGGGTATTAAAAGTGATAGTGACAAATAGCGTCTAGCTCATAGCTGATGTGGAATCACATGACGTCCTTGTATTTTGTTACCCATATCGATTTTTTTTTAAAGTAAAACATGTTCGACATGAAAATATGGAAAGGATTATAATACAAAGGAGACAAGTGTTAACCATAATACTACCAAATACAGATAAATGATCTTATATCTCAATGTATCTATTTATCTATCTGTATCTATCATTTTGTATACATGAGTGAGTGTATACTAATATGCTATTTTTTAAAAAAATTATATAAAGGTGATCTTCTATTACGCAGGGTCCTGGCAGGGAGAAGATGGCATATCACTCAAATGTGGTGATTGAGGAGAGTCTAAGAAAGTGTCCATTTATAACCATACTGGTAGAGTAAAGTAACCAAGAAAAACTGGTGAATTATCCAAGGCTAGTCACAGGTTGGGATGAGTGAGAGGCCTGAGGGAGTAGGGAAGAGCTTTCAAGAAACTCGTAAGACCCATAGCTTTACAGAGGGTCATTCAACAGGAGCCTTGGCCACTGGTAGTGATGTAGCCATTGCTGACCCATGCCTCTGGAGAGAAGGGCTGAGGATATAAGTATTCTGAGAGATTTCTCCTCCTACCCTCTCATCTACTGCTGATGCCTCATACTGGCTGACTCCAAAGAGAATTCAGAGCACAAGTGAGTCTGGGTGATGCAATCCATGGATGCTGTCTCCAGCAGGGCGGAGATGGGTGGAGTAGATCTGGAGGGGACATCAGAGAGGCAACAAGTACCACATCTGTTTTTTAGGATTGGAATTTAGCATCCCTGAAGCAGAACCAAAAAAAAAAATAATAGTTGGTTGAGAATCGATCTTGTGTCTTAAATCAGAAAAAAAAGGCAGATTTTTTTAAAGGATAAGACAATAAAATCTAGAGTACTCAGAGATAAGCTTGAATAATTCAGATCATAGCTCAACATTGTTCAAGAGAAAAGTGTTCAAATTCAATAAGACCAGCAATTTTTTTTTCCTCCTTGTCATTAAGAGTAGGGAGTTGAAATAGCCTGCTGGACCTAGGGGCTCTTTTCTGGAGAATTTCCAGAATTATTTGGAAGCAAATGTAAAGACAATTCTGGTATGAAGTCATTAAAATATCCCAGATTAAATGGAAGTAAGACCCTGAGTATTGTTGTAGATGTACTTTTGTTTCATATTTTTACTTTTCTGAATCAACATGTGTCTTACAATAAAAATAATGTTTCTTTTTTTCTTTTCCAAAATTGGTTTTTATATTTGTGTTTCCTCTTACAATCGAAGACACTTTACCACATAGGAAGTATGGTAGTGGTGAAGAAGTTATAAAAAAAGACAACCCAAAAAGTCTGAGATTGACATGATAATTACTAAAACAAACTTTCAATCAAAATGCATCTGAATATTCTTTTGGCAGGTGCTTATTGATGTAAATTGAATGGAAGATGAAGTAAGCAGATTGCCATTTAAATCTTAATTAAATTAAGACTTAAACGTCAGTCCAGTCTTTTAGAGTTCTCAATAAATGGGACAAAACTAAGCAAG